>NC_000001.11:247093212-247244727 GCF_000001405.40 Homo sapiens
CATTCTTGGAATTTGCTGTTTGATACCGGCATACCCTCTTAAGTAAATGTGGTTATGTTATACATCATTTTAATGGGCATTTCTTGCTTTTTTTTTTTTGTAATGACTTATTACTTATTTTAGACTATGGAAAAGATGTTAGACAAAAAGCAAATTCAAGCGACTTTCTTATTCAAGTTCAAAATGGGTCGTAAAGCAGCGGAGACAACTCACATCAACAACGCATTTTGCCAGGAACTGCTAATGAATGTACAGTGCAATGGTGGTTCAAGAAGTTTTGCAGAGGCCGGGTGCGGTGGCTCACGCCTGTAATCCCAGCACTTTGGGAGGCTGAGGCGGGCGGATCACAAGGTCAGGAGTTCGAGACCAGCATGGCCAATATGGTGAAACCCCGTCTCTACTAAAAATACACAATTAGCCAGGTGTGGTGGTATATGCCTGTAGTCCCAGCTGCTCGGGAGGCTGAGGCAGGAGAATCGCTTGAACCTGGGAGGCGGAGGTTGCAGTGAGCCGAGATCACGCAACTGCAGTCCAGACTGGGTGACAGAGCGAGACTCCGTCTCAAAAAAAAAAAAAAAAAAAAAGTTTTGCAAAGGAGGCGAGAGGCTTGAAGATGAGGAACATAGTGGGCAGTCACCGGAAGTTGACAACGACCAATTGAGAGCAACCATTGAAGCCGATCCTCTTACAGCTACACGAGAAGTTGGTGAAGAACTGAACGTCGGCCATTCTATGGTCATCTGGCATTTGAAGCCAATTGGAAAGGTGAAAAAGCTTGATAAGTGGGTGCCTCATGAGCTGACCAAAAATTTAAAAAATCATCCTTTTGAAGTGTCGTCTTCTCTTATTCTATGAAACGACAATGAACCATTTCTTGATCAGATTGTGACATGCCACGAAAAGTGGATTTTATACAACAGCCAGCTCAGTGGCTGGACTGAGAAGCTCCAAACCACTTCCCAAAGTCAAACTTGCACCAAAAAAAGTCATGGTCAGTGTTTGGTGGTCAGCTGATGGTCTTCTGATCCACTGCAGCTTTCTGAATCCTGGTGAAATCATTACATCTGAGAAGTACGCCCAGCTATTGATGAGACGCACCAAAAACTGCAGCACCTGTAGCCAGCATTGGTCAACAGGAAGGGCCAATTCTCCACAACACCTGACCACGTGTCATACAACCAAGGCTTCAAAAGTTGAATAAACTGGGCTACAAAGTTTTGCCTCATCTGCCATATTCATCTGATCTCTCGCCAACCAACTACCACTTCTTTAAGCATCTTGACAACTTTTTGCAGGGAAAATATTTCCACAACCAGCATGATGCAGAAAATGCTTTCCAAAGAGTTCATCGAATCCTGAAGCATGGAATAAACAAGCTTATTTCTCATTGGCAAAAGTGTGTTGGTTGTAATGGTTCTTCTTTGTTTTAAGACAGAGTCTCACTCTGTCACCCAGGCCAGAGTGCAATGGTGCGATCTCGGCTCACTGCAACCTCTGCCTCCTCGGTTCAAGTGATTCTCCTGCCTCAGCCTCTTGAGTAGCTGGGATTACAGGCACACGCCACCACACCCGGCTAATTTTTGTATTTTTAGTAGAGACGGGGTTTCACCATGTTGGTCAGGCTGGTCTCAAACTCCTGACCTCGTGATCCGCCCACCTCAGCCTCCCAAAGTGCTGGGATTACAGGCATGAGCCACTGCGCCCAGCCCATTGTAATGGTTTCTATTTTGATTAATAAAGATGTGTTGCAGCCTAGTTATAAAAATTTAAAATTCATGGTCCAAAACCACAATTATTTTTGCACGAACCTAATAATATAAGAATTAAAAGAGACCTTTATATTAGAGATCCCATGGATGATAAAAGAATAAAGAATATTACAATCTCCATAACCCACAAACTTGGTAACTTAGACCAACTGGATGAATAAAAGACACAATCTATTAATACTAAAACACAGGAAAAATAGGTAATCTAAATATATTTATATCTATTAATAAAATGGAATCAATACCTAATAACCTTCTGAAGAACTTATATATTCCAAAAATCTGACATTCTGTCATATTTTTCTAACTGGTGGGATTCAGGGGTTTCCATTTTGACGAGAACATAGGTGGGTCGCACACAATTTTAGTACTCATTGGTCAGGAAACCCATGTCCACTATAGGATATTGCAGAGCGGTGCATTATGGAGAATTTAGGCAACATAATATGGTTTTCAGAGTTAAAGGAAGACCACCTGTCTTATGTACAGTAATTCGTCATAATATCCTAGGGGATACCACATTTAAACTTCGGGGTATCCCTAGGTATATTCTTTGAGCCACATGTGAATTTCAGACACGGAGGCTTCTCAATTTTGGTGCCTTTCAACAAATGTTGAAGTTAATTCCCAACCTATTTTGTGGAGGCATAAAATTCAATGAGCACTCATTTAACCTTTTATTTTAAATATTATTTTAGTAAACTTTGTATTTCCAATTAGGTGAAATTTTAAACCCGTTTCAGTTTTTATCCACTCTTTTTAGGCGGAGGGGAGTAAGGGTTGCTTTCAGCTAGGAGGGACTCCCACGTACCCAACCCATTTGTGTAAATTTCTTCCTTCAGAGTTCTTCAAATCAGCATCACCATTGTTAAAGGCCTCCCACATGGTAATAATTGTGCTACAGAGTTTTAAGAACATTAAGTTTATGTCTGGCTGAATTAACCTCTTTGCTGTGGCACAAGGGGGCCATAGGTGTTTTCACCAATTATGAAGCGGGTTCACTGTGCAATGACTACCGACTTTTCTGAGAACGAGATCAAACACATTCACACATAAAACCCATGAAGTGAATTTACTACTTACAAATAGGAAACAAAAGACAACAGAAGTCTAGGATTCGATATGAACTGCTACCACAAGATCAGGAAAGTATCCAGAGCAGATGGATGGAGCCTTGACTGCAGGTGCTTCACTTGCACTACAACTGAGTGACCCCAGAAAGCAGCCCACCTTGGGTTTTATATCCCAGGATGTGATTTGCTGGAGCGTTGAGGACCATTCTGTTTCAAGCAGGGACTATAACAGAGCCTGGGTTGTTCTGGCCAATGTCAACTGATTATCAGGATATTGCATTCTCAGCATATTGTACAGTTATCGTGAGAACTACCAGTAAGAAAGGGGGGAAAACTGTGTCAGTCTGAGACTACCTGGAAAACTGCCCTGCACCCTGAAAACTGAAGGATCAGGATATTTGTTGTGACAGAGGCACAGACAGTAGCGATAGAGTGTTCTTGTGAGCCATCTACTAGTTTTCTCGACCGAAGCATGGCACCTGACTGCTTTTCTCTTTCCTTACAATGGAAACTGTTTCAGAATATTTTGAGTTTCTGCGTATATAGAGTTGCGGCACATGATCACTGGAAGTGTAGACTATCTGCATGGTCAAAGGAAAGAGTTCAGGAGCCCATCAACCCACATTAGAGGAAACCACCTAATCCTCCAGAGAGTGCCACTCAGTCTTCCTGGGGTTAGCTCCACATGCAGTAAGGCCATTACGTCGAAGGCCATCAAGCCTTGCAGTCTGAAGATTAGACTTCTGACATGCTGATAAGCAGCAGTGATAAGAAAAGCCCACACACTGGCTAGGAATTTTTCAATGGAAGCAGCTGAGATGCTTCTTCATATGCTTTGGCAGGGGCTAATATCAAACTATTTCTTCCCATTTTCTTTACTCATCAGCGCCTGAATCATGAGGCACCACAGACGTACACCTCACGAGGAGGGTGTATGGGACAGCAGCAAGGGGAGCAGCAGCACAAGAAACAAACAAGGCCACTACTTCTGCCTGCATTAACGGTAACTACTGTCTTGGGAGTGTACAATAATTAATGTTCACGTGGCTGCCCTAAGCATACAGTGATGGTGACCAGAGCAGATGCAGTGACACAGAGATACAGCCTGATTCTTGCTAATTAGGATTTAGGTGTTGGCTTGTTTATGTGCTGTGCTTTTGGGCATTAAACTGCCTGCTAAGCACAGGCCAAATGTCATGCTGGGGTGCAATTAAACATTCACGTCTAGGAGATGAGAGCATTTTAGTGTGGGAGTAGATGACAACACCTGAAGACAACAAAACACTGTGCAGACCAAAGTGAAGGCCCATCGTCAGCTCATGGTTCTGACCCAGGTGATTTCTGATGTGTTACGGAACCAGTCAGCCGACAGCAGGTAGATAAAGTTGAGCAGGTGTCCTGCATGAGGGCTGCTCCATTCCATTTGTGTTGCCAATTGTTTCAATAGCGTCTCATGCACCCCATTGGTGAGGAAGGAATTAGCACCCTATGTCTACTGGTACCGTTAAACACATGACATCTATTACTAAACAGATAAACTAAACATCAGTTATTAATTACATACAGGAGGATGGTGTAAGCTCCCACAGGCCCAAACAGGGATTAACTTGGGAGCAGAGAGTGGTACAGCATTAAAAAAGTGAGGATGTTCCTTTGTTCCTACAGGAGTATGTGATTGGTTTGTCTGTTGGCTGGTAGGGAACTGAATCATGTGACACTGACTGGTAAGACTGTAATACTGTAAAATACACAAACTATAATACCGTAACGGTGTAATACTATATACAATACCAAAGGCATTGATGAAAAACCCAACGCTATCACATGTGACTGTGAGACTGAATGCTTCCTCCCTCAGACTGGTTACAACATATTGTCCTATCACAGTTCTCTCTCCTTCATTCAAAGTGAACTATGCAAATAACAGACAGAAATAATAAAGAATAAAGGGCAACAAATGCAAAGAACTCACGAGATGATACTCTATGATAAACTTTATGTACTTAGGAATTAATACCAACTCATTATTAGCAAAAAATAAACATCTTTACACCAAGAGTAGTTTTTCCTTTAATAAAAAAAGGTGGAATGTGTATAATGGACAAGGGATAACCAAAATTTGCCAAGTGAGGCTAGTAAGAAAATCGCAACAATTAGCAATCATTACTCACTGGTCCATTAATCACAGAACAATACATACAAATTAAACTTACTCCGCTGGGCACAGTGGCTCATGCCTGTAATCCCAGCACTTTGGGAGGCTGAGGGGGGGCAAATCATGAGGTCAGGAGTTCAAGACCAGCCTAGCCAACATGGTGAAACCCTGTCTCTACTAAAAATACAAAAAATTAGCTGGACATAGTGGTGGGCGCCTGTAATCCCAGCTACTCGGGAGGCTGAGGCAGGAGAATTGCTTAAACCCAGGAGGCAGAGGTTGCAGTGAGCCAAGACCGCACCACTGCACTCCAGCCTGGGCAACAGAGTGAGACTCCATCTCAAAAAAATAATAATAAAATAAAAAAATTAAACTTACCTACATATTAGAAAAACATCAAAATTCAACCATGAATCCAGCACATTATCAAATGAACAGACAAAAATTCTACCAACAAACTGAAGAAAGTATCATTACTATGAAATTCAAGTACTGCTTAAAAAGCATTTACAGAACTCTCACCTCAAGGTTTTCCTGCAAAATAAAGTGAAATGCATACTCAAGACTCTTTAAGAATGAGCCACTGATGAAAACAATATACTTGCAACTTGTGTAACATTTCATACATGTACATTTTTTTCAAGCACCGCACGATAATTAATTTGCATCAGGCTTTCCAAATTAGAAAAACTTCACTTATAGAACTTCTTTCCAGTGGGAGTTTTCACGACTTTTCAAATAAATGTTAAAACTGAAAATATTCTTGCAGTTTCTAAATATTAGTTGTAATCCTGTGTACATTTTTGTATTTACAAGGTCCAGCTGCAGTGTGCATTTTCACATGTCCTTGAGCAGATATGAGAGAAATGAAAACATTCCCACATTCTGGACATTCATAGGGTTTTTCTCAGGAATGAGTTGATGTCTTCAAACGGAACTAAAACAACTGAAGGCCTTAACACAAATTTAAATTTAAAAGGCTCTTCTCCACTCTGAGTCCTCCCAAATCTTCAAAATAGGAAAATCTGAAGGCTTGACCACATTTCCTACATTCTTAAGGTTTTCTGAAGTGTGAGCTCTTTCATGTTTATGAGGGAATGGGAAAGAGTAAATGCTTTACCACATTTCTTACACGCATAAGGCCTTTTTTTTGAGACGGAGTCTCACTCTGTTGCCAGGCTGGAGTGCAGTGGCACAATTTCAGCTCACTGCAACCTCTGCCTCCTGGGTTCAAGTGATTCTCCTGCCTCAGCCTCCTGAGTAGCTGGGACTACAGACACCCGCCAACACACCCAGCTAATTTTTGTATTTTTAGTAGAGACAGGGTTTCACCATGTTGGCCAGGATGGTCTCGATCTCTTGACCTTGTGATCCACCCACCTCGGCCTCCCAAAGTGCTGGGATTACAGGCGTGAGCCACCATGCCCAGCCGCATAGGGCTTTTTTGAGATGGAGTCTCACTCTGTCACCAGGCTGGAGTGCAGTGGTGCCATCTCAGCTAACTGCAACCTCCAACTCCCCGGTTCAAACGATTCTCCTGCCTCAGCCTCCTGAGTAGCTGGGATTACAAGCATATGCCACCACACCCAGCTAATTTTTGTGTTTTTAGTAGAGACGAGGTTTCACCATGTTGGCCAGGATGGTCTCAATCTCCCGACCTCGTGATCTGCATGCACAGGGCTTCCCCGCCTGCTGCGCACGGCTTTTCATGTCCTTGAAAAACAACTAAGACAACTGCAATGTGCCACCATGCCCAGCTAATTATTTTTTTATTTTATTTTATCTTATTTTTTGAGACAGAGTCTCACTCTGTCACCCAGGCTGAAGTGCAGTGGTGCGATCTCGGCTCACTGCAAGTTCCGCCTCCCGGGTTCATGCCATTCTCCTGCCTCAGCCTCCCGAGTAACTGGGACCACAGGCGTCTGCCACCACGCCCAGCTAATTTTTTGTATTTTTAGTAGAGACGGGGTTTCACCGTGTTGGCCAGGATGGTCTCGATCTCCTGACCTCGTGATCCACCCGCCTCGGCCTCCCAAAGTGCTGGGATTACAGGCGTAAGCCACCGTGCCCGGCATTATTTTATTTTTTGTAAAGACAGGGTTTCACCATGTTGCCCAGGTTGTTTCACATTGTTTTAATCCAGGCTGGTTATGAACTCCTGGGCTCAAGCAATCCACACGCCTTGGCCTCCCAAAGTGCTGGGATTATAGGCTGAGTCACTACACCCAGCCTCTATATCATGACTTCTTTCATGGCGAGTAAGGTGACTGGAACGAGTGTAGGCTTTACCGCATTTCTTACATTCATAGGGTTTTTCTCCAGTATGAATTCTTTCGTGGAGGTGAAGGGAACTGAGGCGACTGAAGGCTTGATCACATTGTTTACATTCATAGGGTTTCTCTCCGGTATGAGTACTTCTATGGTTACAAAGGGAACTCAAACGACTAAAGGCTTTGCCACATTGTTTACACTCATAGGGTCTCTCTCCAGTATGAATGCTTCCATGGTAACGAAGGGAAGTGGAACAGCTGAAGGCTTTATCACATTTGGTACATTTATAGGGTCTTTCTCCAGTGTGAGTCCTTTCATGCGTCTTAAAAGAACAAGAAAATCTGAATGTTTTCCCACATTCCTTACATTCGTAGGGTTTCTCTCCAGTGTGAGTTCGTTCATGTATTAGACAAGAACCGGAAACAGTGAATGCTTTACCACATTGTTTACATTTATAGGGTTTTTCTCCTGTGTGAGTTCTCTGATGTCTTTCAACTGAATTGAGAAAATAAAAAGCTTTCCCACATATCGTACATTTATAAGCTGGATTTCCACTGTGCATTATCATGTGTCTTCTAACACCTGGAACAGAAACGAAGAATTTCCCACACTGTTCACATTTATATTGCTTCTCTCCATATGGTTTGTATCCTGAGTGAGCTAGGATATGCCTATTAAGGAGGGAATGACGTACAAAGACTTTTCCACAAATACTGCATTCACATGGTTTTAATCCAGTAGAAATGTTCTCGTTCAGATCAAGATTTGGAATTTGGCTGACAACTTCTCCATACTGACCATCTTCTTTACTTTCACACAGTCTCTGTACGATATGATTTCTGTAAAAAAATGACAAGCACATTATTATTGGTTGGTTTATTAATAACTTTCTACTTATTAATAGGTCTTGGACTTACACTGCTACCAATATCAGGGAAAATGCATTTTTTTTTTTGCCATGACTGAATTATTTCAAAGTAAATGGGTTACTACTGAAAACACAGCTACCACCTGCATGGCTATGACCAAAATAGTAATATTCATATACACAGTTTTGTAGTACTATTTTCAAGTAAACTCTTTTGCAAACACTGACTGCTACATTGAAGTACGTTACATTTTGGGTGAAATTTTTCTAAAAATAAATAAATTTCAAGTGACTCTTATTTGTTTTGATTGCTTGTTTTTAAGTTCATGACATGCTAAGATTCCTTCAGAGGACTTTATTTCCTCTGCTCAGTGCAAATTACCTTATATCTTTCCCAGGTTTTTCGAAGTGATCTTCAATATTCTGGTCTTTCCATTGGCTTCCTAAAATGCAGACCCATAAAATTATCATGAATTATTACAAACTGTAGACACATTACTAGATTTAATGTTCACTGTACACAGTGCCCATGCCTGATTTATTCACCAAATCATTCCCTTGCCACATTCCAAATCATAAATAGCACTGATGATAGGGAAAGACTTCTGTAATTAACTGAAATGTGTTGTCATTCTTACCTACAGAAGCCAGGTTCCTGCAGGTTTCCTGCATCACTTCTCTGTAGAGATTCTTCTGAGAAGAATCTAGCAAAGCCCATTCCTCCTGGGTAAAGTTCACAGCCACATCCTCAAAAGCCACCGAGTCCTAGAACATTCCACACATGTGGATAGAAGGATGGGTGAGACTGACAGCACTGGGAATCTATACTCAATTCATAAGCTGTTTACATGATTTGATAATTTCCAAGCATTTATTCTATGACTTGATTGTCACAACTCTTACTCTGTTCACACATACTCCCTCCCACACAGCAGTACTAATGCTAGAATTGAACTATTCAAAAAGGCAACAGCAAAGTGGAAATACCCATCTCATTAGAGAATCCAGGGAGTAAGATGTGCTGCTAGGTTACCTCTTAATTTCACTTCGTACATTTCTAGTATCTGCCATAATAAAGTCCTACCTGATGTGCATAAGTGAGTTAATAATATCAGTCCTAAGACTACTTATTCTTAAAAATGCCTGCTCACAAAGTTCAATCTTTGTTTGTATTAGTAACTTACATTTTGAAAGGGATTCCACCAACCTAAGTAATAAGAATGACTCACTGCATCTAAATGGTTTATGCAATATAGTTGCCAAAACTTTTTCTGCTAAAGGTCTATTATTTTGTGTCACTGCAGTGGTGCTTAGGGAACCAGACACCAAAACACAGTCTGAACACTAAGTGTTTAATGAGTTTCCCTGGTAGACAATATTTTATATGTGCTGTCACTTGTTAATTGGGGAGTTGAGCCCATTCCATGTGATTACACCAAGAGAGAATAGGCTTATTAAATTTAATTGAGTAGTAAATAAAACCAATAATTGATATTTAACAATTTACTAATACAATTTTTAAATTTCTATTGCACAATGTCAAGGCAGAATGGAATAAGAGGAAATATGGCACATGTTTTTTAAAATGACATTAATGTCACCACTTCCAGATGCTATTCCTGTGAAATCACATAAATTCCCAAATCAGGCTTTTTTAGGCAAGAAAAACTAGTTTTTCATACCTAGTAAAAATGACAAATGTCTAATGATTTTCAGTCATCTAAAAAAAGAGTTATGTCTTGCCTAACATACTTTTAAGATTTTCAACCAAAAATATTCAGGACAGCACAGTATTAGCAGAGAGATGAGCAAGCAGACCAAGGGCTGAGGACACAACACCCTGTAAAGTTTTCACAGGGGGACATCAACCTAAAGACATTTTGGTAATATGCACACTTAGGAAAGATGAAGAGAGGCACAAAGATTTTTTTACAGTAGAGTGTCAGATGGTTTATTCTCCGCTTTCCTCTCATGTAAAATGTTTGTAAACAGAAAAATATTTTGGCCGAGCGCGGTGGCTCACGCCTGTAATCTCAGCGCTTTAGGAGGCCGAGACGGGCGGATCACTTAAGGTCAGGAGTTCGAGACCAACCTAGCCAACATGGCGAAACCCTGTCTCTACCAAAAATACAAAAATTAGCTGGGCGTGGTGGCGGGCGCCTGTAATCCCAACTACTCGGGAGGCTGAGGCAGGAGAATCGCTTGAACCCGGGAGTCAGAGGTTGCAATGAGTGAGACTGCATCATTGCACTCCAGCCTGGCGACAGGGCGAGATTCCGTCTCCAAAAAAAAAAAAAAAAAAAAAAAAAAAGAATATGGTTTGCTTCCTCATTAACCTTATCAAAGCCTCTCATTTACGCCCCTTCTGTGGACCCCAAACCACAAACCATGACTGCGGTACCTGGTTTATGAATCGCCGTTTGCTCAAACACACGGTTTAACGTTTTAACAAAGCCTCGGCTTAATTTTAGGGGAAGAAAGGTGGGACTGGAAGCCCCATGAACCACAGCTCCTCCCATGCTGGAACCCCGCACACCGAGACACCGAGTCGGGGCTCTCCCGCATCACCCTCCCGTGGTCACCACACTACCTGGATAGGGGAGGCGAGGGGTTCCCGACAGGGCTCCGGCCGGCGGAAGTGGCGCCCGCAGGTACAGACAGGATGCAGGGGTTCCGCTGCCCGCCCCGCCCGGCCCGGCCCTGAACAGAAGAGGACTGAGCCCCGGCTACGCCACGGCGACTCGGTCCGCAGGTTCCGGAGCCGATGGCGTGGAGGCCCGAGTCGCGCCACAGCAGGTTTCAACCAGCCCTCTTCTCCACTTCGGGAAGCCAGGCGCAGTCCACTCACCATTCCTCGGCTTCCCGGGTGTCCTGGCGTCAGCTAGGGATGTCCCAATACTCGCAGGTCACAGGGTGGCAGAGGCTGCTGCAGAGCCACCTGGGCCTCCCAGAGCCAAGAACTAGCAGCGGAGACTAACAGGAAGAGCCGGCTCCGGCGAAGGAGAGACAAAGCAACCGCCAGGCAGATCCCGGAAGCCGCCCTCTCCTTTCCGGCGGCGCGCCTGATTGAACGGTCCCCACCCCAGCGCCCCTGATTGGATGGGGCTTCAGGCCCCGCCCCTCAGGCCCTGAGTGACAGGAGATTGCGATCTCACGTGAGGCTGGATGAGGTCAGAATGACCGCTTTTGGCCTAGCGGTTTGTAGGCGGTGCGTCCTTCCTGCGCTGGGATCCGACCATGCAAGAAGGACATTCACATTTAACCTGTATACAAGTTATAGCTATTTGTGCCTTTTATATATATATATATATATAAAATTGGAAGCAATATAATGACAGTTCTGTAACTGCCCAGGGAGTTCACCTTGCCCGCTACCTAGACAGAGCCGATTTCTCAAGACAGGGGAATAGCAATAGAGAAAGAGTAATTCACGCAGTGTCCTCTGTGCGGGAGACCGGAGTTTTTTTATTTTATTTTATTTTTTTGAAACAGAATCTTGCTCTGTCTCCCAGGCTGGAGTGCAGGCTTGGAGTTTTATGATTATTCAAATCAGTCTCCCTGAGCATTTGGGGTAAGAGTATTTAGAACGTTTATTTTGCCAAGGTTGGGGATGCATATGCATGACACAGCCTCAGGATGTCCTTGATGACATGTGCCCAAGGTGGTCAGAGCACAGCTTGGTTTTGTTGGAGAGAAATGCTCGGTGCCGCAAAGTGAAACCAGCACTCAAGCGAAAGTTTTCTCAGCAACGCAATTTACTTCTGCAGAAGCGTGCTGCTCGCATCAATCACGATCGCAAGAGCACACTGAACAGAGGAAAGCAGGGGTTTTTATTCCTAACGCAGTCCCTACCTCTGGCATGGGCTGGGGTCAGACCGCACGATCTAAACTGACCCGGTTGGCTATTTGTGAATATTTTCCCAAATAAGGAAGGGGGAAGGGGGATGTGAGTTACAATGGTGGGACTTGCGGTTTCCAAGGGAGAAATGGGTGCAGAGCAGGTAACCAAGGGAACAGATGTGAGTTATTGATTAGAACTGACGGAAGGTTGTTTACAGTAACTAAGGGCAAGGAGGCATGGAGAACAAGAAAGTTGAGTTCGAAAACAAAAAAACAAGAAAGTTAACATGCCAAACCTTGGAAGAGAAACTGACTGTATCTGACAGCTTTATACATTTTAGGGAAACAGGAGACATCAATCAACATATGTAAGATGAACACTGGTTTGATCCGGGACAACCTGAAGCAAAAGCGGGTCAACTCGAAGCCAGGAGGGGGCTTCCAGGTCACAGGTAGGTGAGAGACAAACGGTTGCATTCTTTTGAGTTTCTGATTAGCCTTTCCAAAGGAGGCAATAAGATATGCATTCATCTCAGTGAGCAGGGGATGACTCTGAATAGAATGGGAGGCAGGTTTGCCCTAAGCAGTTCCCAGATTGACTTTCCCCTTTAGCTTAGTGATCTGGGGGGCTCAAAACATTTTCCTTTCCAATTTCCCCCTTTTCTTTTAAAAATATTTTGGAGAAAGCATTTTAGAAGAAAATCAGTCTCTGGTCCCAGGTTTTGTCCAATCTCTCATGGAGTAGCTGGGATTACAGGCACTGGACACCACGCCTGCCTAATTTTTTTTTTTTTTTTTTCGTAGAAATGGGGTCTCCCTCAGTTGCCCAGGCTGGTCTCTGGTGCCCAACGCCGGGCTCCCGGTAATCTCTACAAATAATCCAGTGAAGGAATGCCAGAGAGTGGAAAGTGGAGGATGACTGACAAAGGACGCCCGAGTACGTTTTCACTTCAAGCTCTACAGGTAAGTAGGGCGCTCGGAAAATTCCAGGGTAACCTCCGGAAACTATGGGTCAGGCTGAGAGTAAGTTTGCTAATTACTGAAGCCTTGTCCGGCAGTTACTGCGCCGCGGAGGGGTAATTGTGAGTACCCAAAATCTCCCATCTTTGTTCTATCTGGTAAAAAAGTATTCTCTTTGGTTCCCGGAATATGGAACCATGAATGTAAAAGACTGGGACAAGGTCGGATCAGACTTAAAACGAGCACAACAAGAGGGCCACGATATTCCCTTCTTGCTTGGTCTGCGTGGCCTGCAATTAAAACAGCACTGGAGCCCTTCCACACTGAGGAGGAGCTTCAGGATGACATAGAAAACTTTAATAATCAGGAGTCTAATGATCAGCAAAATCAACCATCACAGTCTAGTTTTAAAAAGGCCGAGAAACGGGAAGGTATATATGCTAATCTCCAAAAACTTATAAAAGAAACAGTGCCACCTACTTCGCCTTTAGGGGAAGGTCTGGAATGGCCACCCCCGGCTCAGCCTTACAAATTTTTGGAACTGGAGCCTGAGACGCGGCTTGCCGCTCCCATTGTTGCAGGCCCCACCAATAACTATGGCGAAGGGAAGCTTCAGGCTCGCCTAACAGCCAATTACGATCAGGGAATGATCCTCTACCACCTGTTAATTGTGGTAGAGGAATGCTGCGAGCCGGTCCAAATACAAATTATGGCACGGGGACAATCCCGTCATCCATTCGCCAGGCATGAGAAATGGGGGATTTGGATGCTTTGCAGTTTCTGGTAATTAATTCGCCAGTTGAGGAGCCCAGAGAACATGCTCAAGCATGCTGGCAGCCACTTCCTTTTAAAATATTAAAATACTTAAAGCAAGCAATTGGACAATATGGGCCAAATTCTCCTTATGTTCATTCCTTGTTACAATCTGTGGCTTATAACAGGCGTTTAATACCTATGGATTGGGAGGCACTAGCCCAATCCACTCCGTCCCCCTCTGAATTTCTCCAATTTAAAACCTGGTGGACAGATGAAGCAACAAATCGGGCATGCAGAAATGCTCAAGTCCAACGTCCCGTTAATATCACATCTGATCAATTGCTTGGAATCACATGGGGTACTCTAAATCAACAGAATGGTAATGGGTGATGAGGTTGTTGATCAGGTCAGAACTATATGCCTAAGAGCCTGGGAAAAAATTCACAACCCTGGTACAACTTATCCGTGTTTTAACTCAGTTCGACAGGGTCCAAGGGAGCCTTATCCAGATTTTATTGCCCGTTTGTAAGATGCGGCTCAAAAGGCTATTTCAGATTTTCATGCCAGGAAAGTGATCGTTCAGCTGCTTGCTGATGAAAATGCTAATACAGAATGTCAGGCAGCAATTAGACCTATTAAAGGAAAGGCAGATCTAAATGAGGAAAAAGCTTTAAGTGAATACATTAAAGCCTGTGATGGCATTGGGGAGCACTTATATAAGGCCAGCTTCCTTGCTCAGGCAATGGCTGGACTAAGGGTAACAAAAAACACATGAGTGTTCCCCAGGTCTTGCTATAATTGTGGACAGATAGGACATACAAAAAGAGAGTGTACAAAGAGGCAAAAAAGGCAAAACTCAGGACCGGGCCCCAATTCAAAACGGGGCATTCCCAATTCAGGACGGGACATCCCTGACTCCAAATGGAGTGTTCCCAAATGGATTGAGGCAGGTTTCAACCAGCCCTCTTCCCCACTTTGGGAAGCCAGCCGCAGTCCAGGAAGGTCCCAAAAGGAGTTTATGGCCCACTGCCAAATGGCACGGTGGGACTTATACTGGGAAGGTCCAACTTAAAGGGAATTCAAGTACATACAGGAGTAGTGGACTCTGATTGCTACGGAGAAATTCAAATTGTTATCTCCTCCACTGTTCCCTGGAGTGCTAATCCACGTGACAGAATAGCTCAACTGTTGCTTTTGCCGTATGTTAAGTTAGGAGAAAGCTCAGAAAAAAGAATAGGAGGATTTGGAAGCACAAATTCAGCAGGCAAGGCTGCCTATTGGGTAAATCAAGTCTCTGACAATAGACCTATTTGTATGGTCACCATTCAAGGAAAACAATTTGAGGGTCTGGTCAACATAGGAGCAGATGTGTCGATCATAGCTCTTTACCAATGGCCAAAAAACTGGCCCAAACAAAAGGCCCCAGTGGGTCTTGTTGAGGTTGAGGATTTGCTTGTATTTCACCAGGAGAGAATCAGCTTCCTGTCTGGGTACCCACAAGACATCTTAAGCTGTGCCATGAGACAGAGTCCAAGAAGAGGAAAAGACCTCAGAATGTCTCTGCGCCCCCAGTTCGTCAGACGGCTCAGATGAACATCTCTGTTGAGCAGATGGAAACCAGTAAAACTCCCCAAGCAACTCCACCGACCTGGGGGCAGATGAAGAGACTGGCTCACATTGCAGAAGAGAACCTGAGGTCTCAGAACAAGCCGCTGACCACCAGTAATCTAATGGTAGCTATGATGGCGGTAATCTCCTTGGTGGTGAGTCTTCCTGTAGCAGAGGCAGATCAAAATTACACCTATTTTTGTAATAGGAGGAAGGAGGAGGAGGAGGAATGTTAATGAATGTTTCTATTGGTTATCGCTTTCCTGCCATCTGCCTGGGGCCAGCAGCAGGATTTTTAAATTATGATACACAAAGTTGGATGGTTTATGTTCCTGCACATAACGGATCAAAAGCCTTTATTCATGCAATCAGTGGAAGAACATTTCAATCTTTGGACACTATTAAATACCTTGAGCATGGCTATGTTGTGACACATCGCCAGATTAATAAATTTAAACCTAATAAGAACCTCCTGTTATTAAACGGTCAGAAAAGCTAGAGGTGCTAACCTGGGAAGATTATATTGCAAACAGTGCTGCTGTACTACAAAATAATTCCTATGGAATCATCATTGATTGGGCCCCTAGGGGACAATTTGCAGTAAATTGTACTGGACAGAGTGAAGATTGTAGAGAGACTATTTTGCAAACGACTACCCAGATAATGCACCAAAATTACATAGAAGAATTGAAACAAATTACCCTATTAAGTGGGAGGAGAACGGTATGGCTCCTCCAAGCCCAAAAATTATTGATCCAATTATAAGCCCAGAACATCCAGAATTGTGGAAATTAATGATGGCTCAAAGCCCAATTCGGATTTGGAAAGCAGAATGTAAAACAGAGACCCATAGTAAAAAACTTCGATTTGTTGTAGCCATGACCTCTAATCAGATGGTCCCATTGCAGAGTTGTGTTAAACCTCCTTTTATGTTGGCAGTGGGAAAAATTAATATCTTACCTGACTCTCAAACCATATCATGCCTCAACTGTCGTCTTTTTACCTGCATTATTTCTGCCTTTAATAAAGATAATAGCATTTTACTGGTTAGGGCCCGAGAAGGAGTTTGGATACCTGTTTTCCTCAATAGACCTTGGGAGGCCTGTCCCTCCATACATATTATCACTGAAGTACTAAAAGGAATACTTAATAGATCAAAGAGATTCCTATTTACTTTAATAGCTGTGGTCCTGGGCCTTGCTGGTGTTGCTTTGCACTCTTCTATTCAAACTGCGGACTTTGTGGGTAGTTGGCAGAAAAATTATTCTAAGCTTTGGAATTCCCAAAGCCAAATAGATCAAAAATTGGCAAATCAAATTAATGATCTCCGTCAAACAGTAATTTGGATGGGAGATCGGATTATGAGCTTGGAGCATAGAATTCAAATGCAATGTGATTGGAATACTTCTGAGTTTTGTATTACTCCTAGCTCTTACAATGCCACTGAACACGATTGGGAGATGATTAGACGTCACCTACAAGGAAAAGAAGATAATTTAACATTAGATATTGCTAAACCGAAAAGACAGCTTTTTGAGGCATCTCAGGCTCATCTCAGCCTGTTGCCTGGAGCTGATATTCTTACTGGAGCCGCTGATGGCCTTTCTAACACTAATCCTTTAAAGTGGATTAAAACCATAGGTGGATCAACAATTGCAAATTTTATTTTGGTTTGTGTCTGTTTATGCTGTTTATTTTTAGTCTACAGATGCCGACGGCGCCTTGGTAGAGAAGCCAGACACAGTGAACGAAATAGCAATGGCGGTTATTAATAAAAAAAAAATTAATAGAGTCGGGCGCAGTGGCTCACGCCTGTAATCCCAGCACTTTGGGAGGCCGAGGCGGACGGATCGCAAGTTGAGGAGATCGAGACCATCCTGGCTAACACGGTGAAACCCCGTCTCTACTAAAATTACAAAAAATTAGCCGGGCGCGGTGGCGGGTGCCTGTAGTCCCAGCTACTCGGGAGGCTGAGGCAGGAGAATGGCGTGAACCCGGGAGGCGGAGCTTGCAGTGAGCCGAGATCGCGCCACCGCACTCCAGCCTGGGCGACAGAGCGAGACTCCATCTCAAAAAAAAAAAATTAATAGAGACAAAAAAAGGGGGACATATGTGGGAAAGAGAGTTTCTGGAATGCCAGATGAGTTGGTCCCCCCTGCGTGAGACATCCATGGGAAGCCATGGGCGGCCTCTGAGGAGAAAAGTCTCCTTTTTGCCTTCATGTCTTTACGCATGCCACAGGTGCTGGCGGAGATAACACTCCCTTGAAGCAGTGGAGTACAATCAAACATCTTGGCTGCTCCTGAAACCCGCTCCCACGCATTTCAGTCCGGATAAGGTAAAGATCTTAAATAGTTTAGACACACGCCTTTGCTAGAGGAAATTCACAGAAACCGCCACGGCTACACATCTTATTAAATGAGTCACGAGTTCTCCTTCATTGATTAATCCTTTTCCTCATCCCTTCTCACCCCTCCCATTTGCCCTAAGAACGAAGAGCTGGTAAACCAATAAATTGGGTGGAGGCCGAGAGCTCGGGGCCGCGAGCAAGCCTCCGACGCCCTGGTCCCCTGGACCCGCCGGTTAAACTGTGATTCTCTTTCTAAATCCTTTGTCTGCGCCGGACTCGGGGTACCCGCCGGGTGGTGTGGGGCTGGTTTCCCCACCAGCTCTCGAACTCCTGCACTGAAGCGCTCCTCCCGCTTCAGTCTCCCCAGTGGTTGGGATTACAGGCGTGAGCCCCCGCGCCCGGCCAAAGGGCCCCCTAGGACCGGCTGTCTCCCCCGACTACGCACCCTCGGCCCCCAGCCTCGCGCCAGACACGGCGCCGCAGCCCCAGCGCGCGGGGGTGGAGAGAGCCGCGGGGCAGGGGCGCCCTGTGGGTCCCGCGGTCACGCCGGATCGCTCGGCCGCAGTAGTGGGGCCCGGGCGGGCGCAGGGCCGGGCTACGGGGACCGGCAGGCGCGCGAAGGGCCCGGGGCGCCGGGAGGACTCGGGTTCACAGTCGCTCCCGCTCCGGAAAGTTTGCGGCGGCTGCCCCGGGAGGGACTTCGGCGGGGAGGAGGCGGCGGCGCCAGGTGGCCGAAGTCGGAGGGGTCCGTCCGCTCCCGCAGCCTAGGAGCGCGCCCTCCCCGCCGGTGCCGGGGCCCGTGGTGGGGGTCGCACCCACCGCCGCTTGGCCGGGACCGTCTTGGCTGGCGCCGCCTTGGAGCTCGTAGGCACCGCGCGCGGTGCGGGGAGCGGCCGGGGCGGAGGGACCCAGCGAGCCCGGGGAGGGCCGGGGTCCTGCAGGCGGAGGCGCCGGGGAGGGTGTGGGGTCAGGGCCCGCGCGGCGCTGCTTCTGCTCCCGAAGACTGCGGTCGGAGCTGGCGCAGCGGAGGGTGCGGCTCCCGGAGCGCGAGGCCGCAGCGGGGAGTGACCGGAAGTGGCCTCTGCAGCCGCGTCCCTGGGCCCATGTCAGGGACGGCTCTGGCTGAAGCAGGAGGACGGCGTTTGGAGGGTGGGGTGGGCGCGTCCTCTCGGCGGCCCGCGTGGACTGACAGCCACCACTGCCCCCACGCTGCCCTCGTGCCCGCGGTTCTAAGAAGTCGAATGCCAGGCGGAGGCGACGGGGCAAATGGCCCAGGCTTGGGAGGCCGCTGGCGGTCCAGGTCCCGCAGGATGTGGAGGATTTTCGAGGAGGGCCCAGGGGCTGGAGGGTGCACAGGCCCATCTTGCACAGGAGCCACGGCCCCGGCCTTAGCTGGGCGGAGCAATTCCGGTGCCGCCGCCCCTTCCCCGCCCGGCCATGCTCGGGCTCCAGGCGGGCTGCTGCAGGGGGCCTGATCCGGTGGACGATCGGCTCCTCACCCCGGCAAGGGCCCCCACCTCGGCCGCTGACAGCCTCGCAGGGAGGCCCCAGCGATGAGCAAGGGGGCTGGCGGGAGGACGGGAGGCCCCGCCGGCCTGAGTCCTGGACAGGTGATTGGCAGGTGAATGAGCTGGAGTGTGCAGCGTGCCTGGCTGGGGGCCAGGGAAGATCTGCCGGGACCTCAGGGGCTGCAGGCTGCCAACTGCCCGCCCCAGCTCTGGATGCCCTACTCGAACCTCAGTTTCCTCACCTGCCAGGAAGGACCCGTATGTCAGGGGTGTTTTGACGATTAAACTGGACAATCCAAATAAACTCGCATTAGCCCTCCTTGGCCGCACATCTTTCTGACTTTGTACGAAACTCTGGAATGCCTGTAGGTGGGGAGGCAGGCAGGCCAGACCTTGGCCCCTGGCTGCATTGTCCCTTCTGGGCGCCCCCACTCCTCCTGGGCCCTTTTAAAGCACATACCTAGCGAAACATCTGGACCTCAGAGAGCCTCAGAGAACTTTGTGCATTTCCAAAACCAAAATGCTTTCTTCCCTGACCCCATGTTCTCATCTTACTCCAAAACGCAAATTCCTTGGGCAGCCAGCTTCAGAAAAGGGCCTCAATTTGATGTTTGTTCTCTGGGACCCACCCCAGGGCCCTTTTGATGGAGCATCATTCCACCTCCATCCCCACCCCCTCCCCCCGGGGCTTCCCCCAGTACACTGGGGGCTCTTAACTGTAACAACCTGGATCTGGCCACTAGACTCCCAAGGCAGGGGACAGGGAACACAGTTCCCCCAGCAGACTGGCCTAGCCATGGCCTGATGAACAGTGATCTCTGGGCAGGAGACCCAGGACAGGAAATATCTCCGCCCTCTACTGTCAGACCCTCCTGCCTTCGGGGTGAGATCACCTTTTGCCACAGTGGGAAAAACAGGCACAGGGCCAGTGACCAGCAAAGTCAGGGAGACTGTGACCGGGAAACATGCCCAGGCGCTGAACAGCACTTCCAGGTTGCCACAGCCTTTGGGCGGTTCTTGGCATGTGGCACCCTGGTTGGGTCAGCACCTTGTGGGGTGGGGGTGCTGGCAGGAGCAGGTGCTGTGGGACCCACAGCAGGAGGGGAACATTTTCACCCTATCCTGGCACAGCAGTTTTGTTCTCTGATGTGTGTGATGGGAAAAAAAAAAATCAAAAGAAGAAGAACACTTTATGACACTTTCCAATTAGAAGTTTCCATGTCCATAGTAAAGTTTTCTGGGAGTGTAGCCTTGCCTGTTCATTCACATGTTGTCTGTGGAAGGCTGCGGTCACGCTGCAACTGCAGGGCCCCGTCCTTGAGACGGATGCATTGACAAAGTTGAAAATATTGACCCTCGGCTCTTTAGGGAGTTTCCAGCCCATGCCTGGTTTTGAGCACTGTCTGCTGAGACCCCAGGCTCTGGGCTGGCTCCTTCCTCACTCAGGGCTCCAGTGGCCTCTGCTGGTGTGCCTGTAAAGTGGGGGTGCCATGGGGCCTCCCTATGGGGGTGTTGAGTCCTGGAGTGCCAGGTTTTGGGGTCCCTGCATCACAGTTGACCATCTCCCTGGCAGAGATCCCAGTGCCTGATTCTGGCCAGTAGGAATATTTACTCTTAACCAATGGGGACACCTTGGAGCTGAGCTGCCACCCACCCAGCAGTGGTCCCATGACACCCCCTGTCTGGGTCAAGGTTGGGGCAGGGCTGGTGTCCTGAACTGCATCCTGATGTTCAGCAGCGGTGGCTGCTGGTGCTCAATGCCTTCGAGAGAACGCTGAGGCCAATAGCTGCTGGCAGCGGCTCACCCAGGTTGTGTGTACTGTGCCCTTCTGTGTGCGAGTGACAGGTGAGTGCCTGCAGGGGTCATACCAGGCTGTGTGGAGGGGGCCAGAGGTTAAAGTTCCCTGAGCAGCTGTGTGGTCCAGGAGCAGCCAAGGGGTCTCTGGAGGTGTGGCTGCCACAACTCTACCCTGAAGGTCTTGCTTGTCATTGGTGGAGAGGAGAGGACTCCCAGGAGGTGCTGCCTGAGGGACCCCATTTCCATCTGTGAGGGGCACCTAGGGTCCTCCTGGGGCGAGTCAGAGACTGGGCCCTTGGGGTGAAAGTCCCTTCTCTGGGCTGAGAAGCAGCAGGCACTGGGGCGTGGGCTGCCTCGGGGCCCCCGCCCACTCGCACCCTCTCCTGCACTGCAGCTGCCCTATCCTCAGGAGGTGAGGAAGATGGGAGGATGAGGCTAAGACACAGGCTGGCCGGGGGTGAGGCCTGCTCCTACCCAGCAAGCCCAGGCCTCAACAGGCAGGTGAGGGACTGAGGCCTGGGGCATGACCTCCCTAAGTCACCTCAGGGTAGAGAAGGAGCTGGGCCACCTAGATGGGTCTGTATGCCTGGCCCTGGGCTCTGGGTAGCAGGCGGGGGGTGGGAGGGGACACCCATGCTGCAGATGGGGAGACTGAGGCGCGGGGCTCTGAGGGCTCCAGGAGCAAGGAGGAGGCCAGGGCTGGCCTGTGGGGACTTTGGTGTTGACTCTGGGTGAGGTGGACCCCTGCAGATGTGAGTACAGCAGAGCTCAGGCGGCTGCAATGGGGTGGATGGACCCAGGCGGTAAGGGCACCAGCAGATGACTGCCACAGCCCAGTGCGGGGAGGGTGTCTATGCGGGGCTGTAGATTAGTGCCAGCAGGGTTTGGGTTTCCCAGCAGATGGCTGTGTGTGTGAGACAGCAATCAGGTGGACAATGCCCAGGGGTTCTGGCTTGGAACAGAGGCTGGTGCACGTTGCTCAGCTGTAGATGGCCTGGGTGGGGAACTGAGACTTGGCTTTGGAGAAGCCAAGAGACGTGCACATGCGAGTGAGTGTCATGCTGGGATGGACACGGTGGGGGGGCAGTCACACAACCTGGGGACCAATGGTGTGTGGGCTGAGCCCCCATGCCTGCTGGAGTGGAGCAGGCAAGGAGGTGAGGAGCAGCCAGCCCGGGAGAAGGAAGTCGGGGGAAGCCCAGGGATCTCTGTCACTGGGATCTCTGTCAGTGAGACCGTCAACTGTGATGCAGGCACCCCAGGGGGCCAGAGGCCAGGACAGCAGTGGATCCTGGGATAGGATGAGAATTATTTTGGCTGTGCTGTCCCCATGGCCCCTACTCCTGACCACATACTCCGGTACTCTCGCCCTGAGTCCCTGCTTGCCCCCGCCTACCTGACCATCCCAGGTAGGAGTTAGGCGTTTTCATCCCATGTGAGCTTGGGCTGTGAGGGTCCCGGGACAGCAGCATTTCAGAAGGCACTGTCTGGCCGTGGACAGCATTGTTGAGTCACTGTGGGTGCCCGGTCCTGAGAAAGAGCCCCTGGTGCAGTTTTCTAGGCTCTGTCTTCTGGGGTCTCTGCCCGCTATCCCGGGAAGCCTGGGAGGGCAGCTCAGAGCTCTGGGAAGTGCCTCTTCCCAGCATCTGTCCACACTGTGCTCACCAGTGCCTTGGCGTCATCCCCTGAGAGGTGGGCATATGTCCCTGTGGGCGGGTGACAGCAAGGTCATCACGGGGAGGGGGCGTGTCCCTGTGGGCGGGTGACAGCAAGGTCATCACGGGGAGGGGGCGTGTCCCTGTGGGCGGGTGACAGCAAGGTCATCACGGGGAGGGGGCGTGTCCCTGTGGGCGGGTGACAGCAAGGTCATCACGGGGAGGGGGCGTGTCCCTGTGGGAGGGTGACAGCAAGGTCATCACGGGGAGGGGGCGTGTCCCTGTGGGCGGGTGACAGCAAGGTCATCACGGGGAGGGGGCGTGTCCCTGTGGGCGGGTGACAGCAAGGTCATCACTGGGAGGGGGCGTGTCCCTGTGGGGGGGGTGACAGCAAGGTCATCACGGGGAGGGGGCGTGTCCCTGTGGGCGGGTGACAGCAAGGTCATCACGGGGAGGTGGCGTGTCCCTGTGGGGGGGTGACAGCAAGGTCATCACGGGGAGGGGGCGTGTCCCTGTGGGGGGGTGACAGCAAGGTCATCACGGGGAGGGGGCGTGTCCCTGTGGGCGGGTGACAGCAAGGTCATCACGGGGAGGGGGCGTGTCCCTGTGGGAGGGTGACAGCAAGGTCATCACGGGGAGGGGGCGTGTCCCTGTGGGGGGGTGACAGCAAGGTCATCACGGGGAGGGGTCGTGTCCCTGTGGGGGGTGACAGCAAGGTCATCACGGGGAGGGGTCGTGTCCCTGTGGGGGGTGACAGCAAGGTCATCACGGGGAGGGGGCGTGTCCCTGTGGGCGGGTGACAGCAAGGTCATCCCTGGGAGGGGGCGTGTCCCTGTGGGGGGGGTGACAGCAAGGTCATCACGGGGAGGGGGCGTGTCCCTGTGGGCGGGTGACAGCAAGGTCATCACGGGGAGGTGGCGTGTCCCTGTGGGGGGGTGACAGCAAGGTCATCACGGGGAGGGGGCGTGTCCCTGTGGGGGGGTGACAGCAAGGTCATCACGGGGAGGGGGCGTGTCCCTGTGGGCGGGTGACAGCAAGGTCATCACGGGGAGGGGGCGTGTCCCTGTGGGAGGGTGACAGCAAGGTCATCACGGGGAGGGGGCGTGTCCCTGTGGGGGGGTGACAGCAAGGTCATCACGGGGAGGGGTCGTGTCCCTGTGGGGGGTGACAGCAAGGTCATCACGGGGAGGGGTCGTGTCCCTGTGGGGGGTGACAGCAAGGTCATCACGGGGAGGGGTCGTGTCCCTGTGGGGGGTGACAGCAAGGTCATCACGGGGAGGGGGCGTGTCCCTGTGGGCGGGTGACAGCAAGGTCATCACTGGGAGGGGGCGTGTCCCTGTGGGGGGGGTGACAGCAAGGTCATCACGGGGAGGGGGCGTGTCCCTGTGGGCGGGTGACAGCAAGGTCATCACGGGGAGGTGGCGTGTCCCTGTGGGGGGGTGACAGCAAGGTCATCACGGGGAGGGGGCGTGTCCCTGTGGGGGGGTGACAGCAAGGTCATCACGGGGAGGGGGCGTGTCCCTGTGGGCGGGTGACAGCAAGGTCATCACGGGGAGGGGGCGTGTCCCTGTGGGAGGGTGACAGCAAGGTCATCACGGGGAGGGGGCGTGTCCCTGTGGGGGGGTGACAGCAAGGTCATCACGGGGAGGGGTCGTGTCCCTGTGGGGGGTGACAGCAAGGTCATCACGGGGAGGGGTCGTGTCCCTGTGGGGGGTGACAGCAAGGTCATCACGGGGAGGGGGCGTGTCCCTGTGGGCGGGTGACAGCAAGGTCATCCCTGGGAGGGGGCGTGTCCCTGTGGGGGGGGTGACAGCAAGGTCATCACGGGGAGGGGGCGTGTCCCTGTGGGCGGGTGACAGCAAGGTCATCACGGGGAGGTGGCGTGTCCCTGTGGGGGGGTGACAGCAAGGTCATCACGGGGAGGGGGCGTGTCCCTGTGGGGGGGTGACAGCAAGGTCATCACGGGGAGGGGGCGTGTCCCTGTGGGCGGGTGACAGCAAGGTCATCACGGGGAGGGGGCGTGTCCCTGTGGGAGGGTGACAGCAAGGTCATCACGGGGAGGGGGCGTGTCCCTGTGGGGGGGTGACAGCAAGGTCATCACGGGGAGGGGTCGTGTCCCTGTGGGGGGTGACAGCAAGGTCATCACGGGGAGGGGTCGTGTCCCTGTGGGGGGTGACAGCAAGGTCATCACGGGGAGGGGGCGTGTCCCTGTGGGGGGGTGACAGCAAGGTCATCACGGGGAGGGGGCGTGTCCCTGTGGGGGGGTGACAGCAAGGTCATCACGGGGAGGGGGCGTGTCCCTGTGGGGGGGTGACAGCAAGGTCATCACGGGGAGGGGGCGTGTCCCTGTGGGGGGGTGACAGCAAGGTCATCACGGGGAGGGGGCGTGTCCCTGTGGGGGGGTGACAGCAAGGTCATCACGGGGAGGGGGCGTGTCCCTGTGGGGGGGTGACAGCAAGGTCATCACGGGGAGGGGGCGTGTCCCTGTGGGGGGGTGACAGCAAGGTCATCACGGGGAGGGGGCGTGTCCCTGTGGGGGGGTGACAGCAAGGTCATCACGGGGAGGGGGCGTGTCCCTGTGGGGGGGTGACAGCAAGGTCATCACGGGGAGGGGGCGTGTCCCTGTGGGGGGGTGACAGCAAGGTCATCACGGGGAGGGGGCGTGTCCCTGTGGGCGGGTGACAGCAAGGTCATCACGGGGAGGGGGCGTGTCCCTGTGGGGGGGTGACAGCAAGGTCATCACGGGGAGGGGGCGTGTCCCTGTGGGGGGGTGACAGCAAGGTCATCACGGGGAGGGGGCGTGTCCCTGTGGGCGGGTGACAGCAAGGTCATCACGGGGAGGGGGCGTGTCCCTGTGGGGGGGTGACAGCAAGGTCATCACGGGGAGGGGGCGTGTCCCTGTGGGCGGGTGACAGCAAGGTCATCACGGGGAGGGGGCGTGTCCCTGTGGGGGGGTGACAGCAAGGTCATCACGGGGAGGGGGCGTGTCCCTGTGGGGGGGTGACAGCAAGGTCATCACGGGGAGGGGGCGTGTCCCTGTGGGGGGGTGACAGCAAGGTCATCACGGGG
Source organism: Homo sapiens (assembly GCF_000001405.40). Classification (NCBI taxonomy): domain Eukaryota; kingdom Metazoa; phylum Chordata; class Mammalia; order Primates; family Hominidae; genus Homo; species Homo sapiens. The sequence continues at coordinate 247,118,893 of NC_000001.11, forward strand.
AGGGGGCGTGTCCCTGTGGGCGGGTGACAGCAAGGTCATCACGGGGAGGGGGCGTGTCCCTGTGGGCGGGTGACAGCAAGGTCATCACGGGGAGGGCTTATCTTCCTCCTGGTCCCCTGGTGCCCCCTCCTGGGGGATGACAGTTCAGCATTTCCAAGAGTCTTGGCAGGAAGGCCGCCCCCAAACCAGTCCTTAGGAAGGAGAAAACCGTTGGGCTGAGGGTAGAGGCTGCAGCAGCCCTGGACACCAGAAGGGGGCAGAGACGGGGCCTCCTGGATGCCATCCTCACCCGGTACCCACCAAGCCCTGGAGCTCTACAGAGGGAGGCCTAGGGGCGCAGATTCTAGTGGGCCATCGCTGCCCAGCCATCTCTGAAGCTCCCAGTTCTCCAGGCAGCCGGATTTCCCCTTCTGGTAAACTGTTCCCAAGGCCTGTGCCGGTTCATGCACCCAGCTGGGTCCTGGGCCTTCTCCTGGTGGGCCTGCCTCAGTGTGCTTCCCTGGGCAGGTGGGTACTCCGCTGGCAGATGCCCTTATGACCTGAAGGTCTCAAGGCCAAGGTGGAGCACGCTGGACCTCTCAGCAGGAGCTGCCAGCTGGAGGAAGCAGACAGGGAGGGGACACATGGCCCAGCTCTGAGAAAGCCTGAGATGGGGGAACATGACGTCGGGGCTCCTGGGAGCCTCGTCTACTTCAGCAGGGGTCTTTAAAAGGCCAACACTCCCTACACAGGAGGAAAAACCGAGATTGCAGGCGAGGGCAAGGTTGGAAGGGCGTCGGGTCAGACGGGCCTCTGCTCCCCACCTTGGCTATGGCCTTCCTGTGCACTCTGCCAGCAGGGACCCCACTGGACTCAGCTCCAGCGGGTGGACAGGAACCAGCTTGTGGTGCCAGACACCAACACCATTTGCTTCTGATGCCTGACCATGGGCAACTCTACTCCCTCCATCTGGCTGAAGAGCCAGAAGAAGTTCTGTGGAAAGCATCACACGCGAGCATCGAGGTGGGCCTGGAGGGTGGTGGGGGCATGGCTGCCATCCTCTCTCGCCCTTCCACTTGGAGCCGAGGCACCGGCAGTAGAGTCTGGTTATGAAGAGGGCGGTGCGTTCAGACTGCTGTTTTCCACACATGTCATGAAGAACAAGCTCAGCAGCATCCAGCAAACTTACATGCTGGACAGGCTGTGTGTGGGCTGTGGCCTTCAGGCAGGGAGCATGAAGTGAGGTAGCCCTAAGCCCAGCTGGGCCCTCTCAATGTGTTCTCCTCACCAGCGCCTTCTGCTAGGCAGCGAGGTGCAGCTCCATGGCAGGTGTACAGCACCTTAGCACACGGAGGTGAATGTCAGCAAGGCGGGCCTGGACAGCACACCGTACCTCACTGTTCTCAAGGTGGGCACCACCGTTGGCTGGGTACAGGGTGGACAGCACGCCCTACCTCACTGTTCTCAAGGTGGGCACCACCATTGGCTGGGCACAGGGTGGACAGCACACCGTACCTCAGTGTTCTCAAGGTGGGCACCACCCCTGGCTGGGTGCAGGGTGGACAGCACGCCCTACCTCACTGTTCTCAAGGTGGGCACCACCATTGGCTGGGCACAGGGTGGACAGCACGCCCTACCTCACTGTTCTCAAGGTGGGCACCACCATTGGCTGGGTACAGGGGAATGGGCAGGCTGGAGGCCTCGCTTCACTGAAGTCTTCACTTCACGGGTAGATTTCATTGAAATCTACTAGCATTATAGAATTTTTGGAGTAACCTATGAAAGACAAAATTATGTTGGAAGGCCGAAGCGGGAGGATCATTTGAGTCCAGGACTTTGAGACCAGCCTGGGAAACGCAGTGAAACCCCATCTCTACAAAAAATACAACAATCCCAGCACTTTGGGAGGCCGAGGTGGGCGGATCAAGAGGTCAGGAGATTGAGATCATCCTGGCTAACATGGTGAAACCCCATCTCTACTAAAAAAAAAAAAAAAAAAAAAAAAAAAATTAGCCAGGCGTGGTGGCGGGCAGCTGTAGTCCCAGCTACTCGGGAGGCTGAGGCAGGAGAATGGCATGAACCCAGGAGGCAGAGTTTGCAGTGAGCCAAGATCGCGCCACTGCACTCCAGCCTGGGCGACAGAGCGAGACTCCGTCTCAAAAAAAAAAGAAAAATGAGCTGGGTGTGGTGGCGGCATGCACCTGTAGTCCCAGCTACTCAGGAGGCTGAGGTGGGAGCAATTTTCCTTCTTGAACCCGGGAAGTCGAGACTTCAGTGAGCCCAGATGGTGCCATTGCACTCCAGCCTCGGAGACAGAGACACTGTCTCAGAAAAAAAAGGTACCAGCAGGAAACAAAATCCTGTGCACTGAGTAGTTCTCCAGGATATGAACTTGTTGGTTCATATAGAACCTGCTATGAACCAAAGTCCAAAATTAGATGTGGTTTCTCCTAAAGAATGTGTCAATTCATAAAAGTGGGAATCACTCCTGTGACTGTCTCTCATAATTGGTTCAAAAACATTTGCTTTTCTCTCTGCAACTTTGTATATTTTTAAATTAATTAAATCTTTTTACTATATGTGTATTTATCCTATTTCATCTCGGGTTTACCTTGATAATTTGTTCCTAATGAAATATTTATTCTGCGTTTGTAGTATTCCATAGTTTCCACGTTTTTAGGTTTTCTGGGCAGTCGACATGGAAGATTTATGAGGGTAGGGCTTTGGTGTCATCAGTGAATGACCAAGAGTTTTCTTTTCTTTTCTTTTTAAGAGACAAAATCTTGCTCTGTCATCCAGTCTGGAGTGCAGTGGCATGATCTTGGCTCACTGTAACCTCCGCCTCCCAGGTTCTAGCAATTCTCCTCCCTCAGCCTCCCGAGTAGCTGGGACTACAGGTGCCTGCTGCCATACCCGGCTAATTTTTTGTACTTTAGTAGAGACGGGGTTTCACCATGTTGCCCAGGCTAGTCTTGAACTCCTGAGCTCAGGCAATCCACCTGCCTTGGCCTCCCAAAGTGCTGGGATTACAGGCGTGAGCCACGGTGCCCAGTGACCCAGAGTTTTCTCTGTTGTAGCATGACAAATATAAGGATAGCTGATATACTTAATACTCATTTTTATTGTGTGAGTCAAATGAGTTATTGCATCTAAAGGAAACCAGTGAAGCATGCCATTTGACTTTGGATTATTTCAAGACAGCACACTGAGCCCACATCCACTGTTTCATTAATATTTAGATAGGACAGAAAAGCAAATGTTGATAAGAACAAATACTACACCACTTAATAAATAATGAATGGTATGAATAATGGAAATTTGATGAATCAGATGAATCAGTACTTATTTAGTTCATACAATGTGTTAGTCATTATTCTAAGTGATTTATACCTATACACTTAATACCTAATCGTTTAACATGTATAACACAATGATTTATGGAGAATGACACATTGATAATCATATTAGGTGGCATTAAAACCATAGAAATAAAAATGTTCTGGTATATAACACAAATGAACACAGGAAAGTTAAATAACTTGATTAAAAAGTGTGACTTCAATAGCAAAGACATGGATTCAACCTAAATTCCCACCAACAGTGAAGTGGATAAATGCCCATCAACAGTGAAGTGGATAAAGAAAATGTGGTACATTTCTTTACCATGGAATACTATGCAGCCATAAAAAAGTGAGGTCTCCCTATGTGTCCTAGGCACTGGAGTGCAGTAGCTATTCACAGGCACACTTCAGCCTCAAACTCGTGGGCTCAAGCAATCCTCCCACCTCAGCCTCCCAGATAGCTGAGATTTCGGGTGTATGTCGCCATGCCTAGCCCTGGGAGTTTTGCAGTAACACCCATTGAAGTGCACAAGGCGATGACCTTTATGTCAGATCTTTCAAAATAGTTCAAGTAACAACGGTCATCCCCAGTTATGTTCTCATGTGTTTCACGGTGCTACAGAGAGATGTTTCTGCTGATGGTGGCCACGTGGTTGAGTTCTGATCAATGAGACTTAGAAAGAAGTGCCTGGGGAGAATGGACTTCTGTAAATTAAAAAGCAATGGCTTCCAACCTAATTCCCCATGACCTATCAGCTTACTATTTCCTCCTGGTTGCTGTTTGGAATGTGGTTTGATGCCTGGAGGTGGGACAGCCAACTTGGACCATGAAGGAATAAGCATGAACACAATAACTAAGCATAGACAATGTCAGAGAGAGAACATGAAAACAAACTTGTATCTCATAAGATCACTGGACTATTTCATCAATCATGGGCTGCTACCTCTTCAACAGTGTACATGAGACACAATACACATATTATGTTCTTTTTTTTTTTTTCTGAGACGGAGTCTCGCTCTGTCACGCAGGCTGGAGTACAGTGGCGCGATCTCGGCTCACTGCAATCTCCGCCTCCCGGGTTCATGCCATTCTCCTGCCTCAGCCTCCTGAGTAGCTGGGACCGCAGGCATCCACCACCACGCCCGGCTACTTTTTGTATTTTTAGTAGAGATGGGGTTTCACCGTGTTAGCCAGGATGGTCTCGATCTCCTGACCTTGTGATCTGCCCGCCTCGGCCTCCCAAAGTGCTGGGATTACAGGCGTGAGCCACTGCGCCCGGCCTACGTGAGCCGTTTTTTGTTAATAGCTTTATTGGGATCACACACGTATCGAACATTGGTTTCCTAAATTAGCAAATCGACCATTTCCTCAGGTTATTCCAAGTTCTTCCAAGATGCGTCAGAAGCATTCTCTGGAGGCAGTTGTTCCAAATGGTGAAGAGTACTAGATGGATCCCAATCTCACAGGATTCTTGCTTCTATTGCAGAAGAGTTACTTTCCAGGACTTCAAAGGTTTAGAGAAGCTGCTTGATTCGTGTGGCTTGCAGAGGTGCATGGGCTTTGGAGTCACGAAGTTAATCCTGAGTCCCAGCCCAGCCTCTTAGTAGCTGTGAGGCTTTGCACAACTTCCTTGTCTTGGAAAGTTATATAAACCTCATCTGCAAGAAAAGGCATGATACTGATTGCAAAAATGGCAGCAACTCTTCATCCCTTCCTGTATTTATGCCCTTTGTGATGTGCTTTTAGCTGGGACTACAGGCACCCGCCACCACGCCCGGCTAATTTTTTGTATTTTTAGTAGAGACGGGGTTTCACCGTGTTAGCCAGGATGGTCTTGATCTCCTGACCTCATGATCCGCCCGCCTCGGCCTCCCAAAGTGCTGGGATTACAGGCGTGAGCCACTGCGCCCGGCCTACGTGAGCCATTTTTTGTTAATAGCTTTATTGGGATCACACACGTAAAATTTAGCCATTTAAAATGAATGATTTTGTGGCTTTTTTTTTTTTTGAGACAGAGTCTCGCTCTGTCGCCCAGGCTGGAGTGCAAAGGTGTGATCTTGGCTCACTGCAACCTCCACCTCCCAGGTTCAAGCGATTCTCCTGCCTAAGTCTCCTGCGTAGCTGGGATTACAGGTGCAGGCCACCACATGTGGCTAATTTTGTATTTTTAGTAGAGACAGCGTTTCACCATGTTGGCCAGGATGGTCTTAAACTCCTGACCTTGTGATCTACCCGCCGCGGCTTCCCAAAGTGCTGGGATTACAGGCGTGAGCCACCACGCCCGGCTCTGATTCTGTGGCTTTTAGTACATCCACAGAGTTGCCCAACCATCATCACAGTCAATTTGAGATGATCACCCCATAAAGAAATTCTGCATCCTGTAGCAGCCAACTCCTTTCCCCCCAGCCTATGCAACTTTCTGTCTAATCTACTAATCTACTTTCTGTCTCTATTTGCCAATTCTGGACATTTCATATAAAAATAAAATCACGCAATATGTGGGGTTTGTGTGTGTGTGTATGTGGCTTCTTTTACTTAGCCAAATACTTTCAAGGTTCATTCATGTTGTAGTATGTATCAGCATTTCATTCCTTTTGTTTTAGAGACAGGGTCTCGCTCTGTCACCCAGGCTGCAGTGCAGTGGTGTGATCATGGCTTACTGCATCCTCGACCTCCCCAGGCTCAGGTGATCCTCCCACCTCAGCCTCCCAATAGCTGGGACTACAGGCACACACCGCCATGCCCGGCTATTTTTTTATTTTTTTGCATTTTTAGTACAGACGAGCTCTCATCATGTTTCCCAGGCTGGCAACTCCTGGGCTCAAGTGATCCACCTGCCTACGCCTCCCAAAGTGCTGGGATTACAGGCATGAGCCACAGCGCCCGGCCTTCATTCCTTCTTATGGGTGAATAAGATTTCATTGCAAGGATAGACCACATTTTATCCTCTGACGGACACTGGAGACTTTTTCACACATTGGCTGTTACGAATGCTGCTGCTGTGAACATTTGTGTACTAGCTTTTTTGTGGATGTTTTAATTTCTCTTGTGTATCTGTACCTGGGGGTGGAGTTTTTGGGTCAAATGGTACCTCTATGTTTGAATTTTAGAGGGGTTGCCAGACTGTTTTCCAGAGTGGCTGCGCCATTATGCAATCCCACCAGCAGGGTGTGAGGGTTCCAATTTCTCCGTATCTTCACCGACACCTGTTTTTGTCTTTTTTTTTTTTTTTTTTTTTTTTTTTTTTTTGAGGCAGAGTTTCCTCTTTCGCCCAGGCTGGAGATCTCCACTGACTGCAACCTCTGCCTTCCCGTTTCAAGGGATTCTCCTGCCTCAGCATCCTGAGTAGCTGGGATTACAGGCGTCTGCCATCACACCCGGCTAAATTTTGCATTTTTAGTAGAGACGGGGTTTCACCACATTCGCCAGGCTGGTCTCCAACTCCTGACCTCGTGATCGGCGCCGGCGCCGATTAAAGGCGCCACCGCACCCAGCCATCTGTTTATTTATTTCATTTTAGTCATCCTACTGGGAATGCAGTGGTATCTCATTGAGTTTTTGGTAACAACTTTATTGAGAGAGGATTCAAACAGCATAGAATTCACCCATTTAAACTACATGCAGCAATGTGGCTGGATCTCATATTAATTAGTCCAAGTAAAATAATCCAGATAAAAGTAAGGACATTTGAATAAAAGCTATTTTCACTGGGGAAAAAAAGTAAATATTGTACAATTGTATTCATATAAAATTCTAGAAAATGTAATAGTCCAGGCACAGTGGCTCACACCTATAATTCCAGCACTTTGGGAGGCTGAGGTGGGCGGATCATGAGGTCAGAAGTTCGAGACCAGCCTGACCAACATGGTGAAACCCGTCTCTACTAAAGATACAAAAATTATTATTATATTGTACCCTATTTTAAATATCATATATATTATTCACAAATGAATGTAACATTGTATACAAGGTTAAGTGTATATAAATGAATGTCCCCTAGGCAAGGCTGGGTCCCAACCCAGAGAGGAAACCCTCTTGGAGAAGAGCTGTAGCCAGAACGCTGCCTCATTCAGACACGCGCGGGAGCTGTCACCTGTCACTAAGAGTCTGAGGGGGCGGGGCCTGAGGCCCTACCCAATCAGGGGCACCGGGGCGGGGACTGCCTAATCCGGCGCTCCGCTAGAAAACCCGAGGCGGCTTCCGGGTGTGCCCGGCCTTTGTCTCTCGTGCCCGCACGTGCGTGTCTCGGTCAGTAGCCCTGCGCTTCTCCTTCACTCTCGGCGGTTCAGGAGGCTCTGCCGCAGCCGGGGCCCTCCTGTGACCTGCATGTACTGGGGGATTCGCAGGGAGGATGTCGGGACACCCCGGAAGCTGGGAAATGGTGAGTTGCGCCGCCGGGGGTCTGGAGAAGGGAAGGGGCTGTGGCGGCCCCGGGCCCCGGGCTCCCAGCGGTCGGCTCCCGAGGGCGGACCCGGGTCCCTGCTGGCGCGGCGCGGCGCGGCCCTCGGTCCTTTCTGGCGCCCGGCAGAGCTGGGCGGGCAGCGGCACCCCGGGCTCCGGTCCCGTCTCTGCACCGCGACTTCCGTCCTGCCCGAAGCAGCTTCCCTCCCCGGCCCGCGCCCGCAGCCCCGCGGCTCCTCGGGATCCTGCAGTGAGACCCGAGGCGCCTCAGGGGAGAGGCCCAGCGCGGTGTGCGGGCTCGCGCCTGCGAGGAGCTGTGGCCACTGGCGTTTCCAGTCCCTCCTTAATCCTGTTAAAAATTAAACTGAGGTTTAATTAAAGCGTTACAGAGTTTGAGCAAACAGCGATTCATGAGTAGGGGAGCACCCAGCCACGGTTTTTGGTTTGTGGGCCACCGGACGGTCTTGATGGAAAGGCTTCTGTAAAGTGTGTAAGGAAACAAACCAAATTTATTTATTTTTTATTTTAATGATCGGGTGGGGCGGGGGGGGGGTCTCCCTGTGTTGCCCAGGCTGGTCTTGAACTTCTGGTCTCAACCTCCCGAAGTGCTGGGATTACCCCGCCCAGCCCAAAGCAACCCCAATTTAATAACTGATTGGTTATAATTATGTAGTTCTGTTATTCGGATTATTTAGGTGGATGGTTCCTGGTTATGTAATCAGAGGTAAATTGCTGATTTGGGGTTAAGTTTTCTTTCCCTTCAAGTTAATTACAAGAAAGGCATGAAGTACCTTTAGGTTTTCTTGGTGAGGAACTCAGGGCACCATCATCACTTAAGGGAGGAGACCACCCCTCATATTGTCTTATGCCCAATTTCTGCCTCCAAAGAAAGAAGAAGTAAAAACTAAAAGGCAGAAATGAAATCCACAGGCAGACAGCCCGGCGCCGCGTCCTGGGCCTGGTTACAGATTGACCCTTGACCTGACCGGTTGTGTTATCTATAGATTCCAGACATTGTATGGAAAAGCACTGTGAAAATCCCTGTCCTGTTCTGTTCCGTTCTGATTGCCGGTGCATGCAGCCCCCAGTCACGTACCCCCTGCTTGCTCAATCGATCACGACCCTCTCACGCGGACCCCCTTAGAGCTGTAAGCCCTTAAAAGAGACAGGAATTGCTCACTTGGGGAGCTCGGTTTTTTGGAGACGTGAGTCTTGCCAAAGCTTCCGGCAGAATGAAGCCCTTCCTTCTTTAACTCGGTGTCTGAGGGGTTTTGTCTGCAGCTTGTCCTGCTACAACTTCAGTCTAATTTCTTCCTATTTAATTATTTCCACAAGGGTACTGGTTTCCCCTGCATTTTCCAAATGTAAGGCAAGCAGGGTCTCAAATCCATGACCGTATTCCCCAGCCTAACTCTTCTAGAACTTGCAGTAAAATTCTGAATTTCCAGTTTCTTCCTCGTACTCTCAAACTCCAACTTCCCCTTTCCAATTTACAACATTATTATTTGTTCTTTATTGTGCATTTGAACCAGATGCAGTATTGTAATTGTTTATCATGTTTTCACTGAGCAGTGAGGAGCTGTTTCTGAACATTCCTTGTGAAAACAGAGAATAATCACCTGATCTAGTCCACTATAAAAAATTCTTTGTACCTCTCCTCCTTTTGTCTTCCCTAGGCACACTCACAAACGTCTTTGGATGGAGGTTTCCCTTTGGAACCTTCACGTGGTGTTGTGTCCTCAGCCACCCTCCTGTCTTTTCTGGGTCCTGGGTTCAAAACTGTTTGAGGATGACCTAATGTGCCCACACTGGCCCTGTCTCTTGGAGTGTCATAAATAGTGAATGTCAGCTGTTGGGTCCTCTTCTCCCAGAAGACAAGGTGAGGTTTAGGGGTGGAGCCTCTCAGAGGAGCAGCTGGATGGCATGAATCCCCTGGGACCGAGAGGAGTCTCCTGGGATACTCTTCTATACTCTTCCTCTAAAAAGCTAATCCACTAGGACTTAGATTTTTTTTTTTCTCTTACCCCCGTTATCACTCCTTAGAGACAAAATGCTGGTCAGGCAGTCGGATACTGGTATTGAGGGAAGAAAGAATTTCTGCCCTCTGGATTGTCTCATGCTTGTGAAGGGAGAACAGCTATTCCAAAGTACAAGGAAACCCCGCCCCGCAGTGAGGCAGGAACCTGAAAAGCAAAATGCATTTGGGGCACAGTGGGGACACGGCGCAGTTTTCTGGGGGAGGGTGGGCATTGAGTACTTCCCCCAGCAGGATGGGGTGGGAGGATTCAGGAGATGAGAGGGAGGGTGGACATTGAGTACTTCCCCCAGCAGGATGGGGTGGGAGGATTCAGGAGATGAGAGGGAGGGTGGACATTGAGTACTTCCCCGAGCAGGATGGGGTGGGAGGATCAGGAGATGAGAGGGAGGGTGGACATTGAGTACTTCCCCCAGCAGGATGGGGTGGGAGGATTCAGGAGATGAGAGGGAGGGTGGACATTGAGTACTTCCCCCAGCAGGATGGGGTGGGAGGATTCAGGAGATGAGAGGGAGGGTGGGCATTGAGTACTTCCCCCAGCAGGATGGGGTGGGAGGATTCAGGAGATGAGAGGGAGGGTGGACATTGAGTACTTCCCCCAGCAGGATGGGGTGGGAGGATTCAGGAGATGAGAGGGAGGGTGGACATTGAGTACTTCCCCCAGCAGGATGGGGTGGGAGGATTCAGGAGATGAGAGGGAGGGTGGGCATTGAGTACTTCCCCCAGCAGGATGGGGTGGGAGGATTCAGGAGATGAGAGGGAGGGTGGACATTGAGTACTTCCCCCAGCAGGATGGGGTGGGAGGATTCAGGAGATGAGAGGGAGGGTGGGCATTGAGTACTTCCCCCAGCAGGATGGGGTGGGAGGATTCAGGAGATGAGAGGGAGGGTGGACATTGAGTACTTCCCCGAGCAGGATGGGGTGGGAGGATTCAGGAGATGAGAGGGAGGGTGGACATTGAGTACTTCCCCGAGCAGGATGGGGTGGGAGGATTCAGGAGATGAGAGGGAGGGTGGACATTGAGTACTTCCCCCAGCAGGATGGGGTGGGAGGATTCAGGAGATGAGAGGGAGGGTGGACATTGAGTACTTCCCCGAGCAGGATGGGGTGGGAGGATTCAGGAGATGAGAGGGAGGGTGGACATTGAGTACTTCCCCCAGCAGGATGGGGTGGGAGGATTCAGGAGATGAGAGGGAGGGTGGACATTGAGTACTTCCCCGAGCAGGATGGGGTGGGAGGATTCAGGAGATGAGAGGGAGGGTGGACATTGAGTACTTCCCCCAGCAGGATGGGGTGGGAGGATTCAGGAGATGAGAGGGAGGGTGGACATTGAGTACTTCCCCGAGCAGGATGGGGTGGGAGGATTCAGGAGATGGGATGGTCTGACTTGACCCTTGAGTCAGCCATGTCCGTGCTCGTCAGTACTGCTACTCGTTTGTCACCTTGAAAATACTTGTTCACTTATTTTAACTTCAGTTTTTCGCTGATTGAAAAATACATTTTATCAGTACAGCTTGAGAGATAATATTTTCAAAAGGCCAAGAAAGAGGTGTATATCAGAAAAATATTAGATATCTAGTCATATATTTCATTTGTTAAAAATTCTTAAATGGCTTTTTTCTTGCCCAGAGGGAGTGTAGTAAGTTTCACAGGTTTGTTCTTTTCTGGGGGTGGTTTCAACCCGAATTCCAGGGCTTAGCTTTGGGAATGCTACCAGGGAAAAATAGGGACACTGTCTTCCATTATGGCTGCAGAAAAATACGTTTTCACAAGAAAGTATACTCACTAACAGAAGCTCACTAAAGCATCAGTTCCACCTTTGTGCCGAGCGGAGATTCTGTGACAGTGGATGACTCTGTTTCCTGTTACCTGGATGTCCAAGTTTAATGGCAAATCTGTGGGTGGGGACTTGGCATTTTTAGATGTGTTAACATCGAAATAATTTCTTTATGAAATAATATGTTATCATGTAAATAATTACATGACTTGTTTATTGTATGAAAGGAATACTTCTGCTTTCCCTGTTGAGGTATGAAATGTAAGTGCCTTGCAATTTTATTCCCTCCAACATACATAAAAGCAGAGTTTGAGTGATTTTGCTGGACTCTTCAAACACTGAGTATTTTTTCATTTGAAACAAAGTGGGGGCCAAGCGCGGTGGCTCACGCCTGTAATCCCAGCACTTTGGGAGGCCGAGGTGGGCAGATCATGAGGTCAGGAGTTCAAGACCAGCCTGACCAACATGGTGAAACCTATCTCTACTAAAGATACGAAAAATTAGCTGGGCGTGGTGGCGTATGCCTGTAATCCCAGCTACTCGGGAGGCTGAGGCAGGAGAATCGCTTGAACCCAGGAGGTGGAGATTGCAGTGAGCTGAGATTATGCCATTGCACCCCAACCTGGGCGACAATCAAAACAAAACAAACAAACTAAAAAACTCATAATAAGCATGTGAATCCTTCACCAGCAACCAGGTTCTCTCATCAAAATTGACTAGAAGGATGGTGTGACCCATGGAGAGAAGGAAGAACAGTGTGGTGCTGCGGCCCACCTGAGAGCCAGGCGGGGAAGGGGAGCCTCCTCCTCCAGCCCAGGGAGGCAGTGAGTGAGTGCGCTACCCAGCTGGGGAAACTGCTATTTCCATGGAGCTGTGCAACCCACGGATTGGAAGATCCCACTCGCAAACCCACGCCACCGAGGCCTGCCGTCCCAACCCTGGAACGCCCAGATTCTTACAGCCTTTCAGCTGGAATCTACTTAAGCCTACCCAACTCCCAGGGGGAGGGGCAACCAGCACTGGCCGTGGCTGCCTGCTGTCTAAGCCATTTGAGTTCCTTGGGGAGGGGCAGCAGCCAGTACTGGGACTCCAACTGCCTAACGTGCTAAGCTCCCTGGACGGGAGGAGGTTGGCACCCATTTCTATAGCTCCAGGCTGCACTTTTCCCCTGCTTTAGCCAGGGAGGCTGTACAGCTAGGTCCCAAGACCTGTCCCTACAGCCCAATACACCGGCTGTGGCAGTTTGCAGCCAGAGTGCCTCTTCAGGCCTAATCCCTTCTTCATTGGGTGGGGCTTCCCTGGAGGGTCTCCAATAACTCCAGCCAGATGCTCAGGGACAGAATTTGGATCTCCCTAGGCCTGAGCCCCTAGGGGGAGGGGTGGCCGCAGTCTCTGCTGACCAGCAGACTTAGCCTCTCCTCCTGGTAGTTCTGAGGAATCTTGGCAGCCTAGGTGAGTGGGTTTCCCCCCAGTGAAGCACACCCTCTCCACCAAGGGACAAAGTCTTTCATTAAACGGGTCCTTTTCCCTGTGCCACCCAACTGGGTGAGACCCTCCAACAGGGGTTGTCAGACACCCTATTCAGGAGTGATGCTACTGGCATCCGGTTGGTGTCCCTTGAGGTAAGAAGTCCCAGAAGGAGGAGCAGGCACCCATCTTTGCTCTTCTCTAGCCTCCTTGAGTGGCATCTCCAGGCATGGGAGTGAATCAGATGAATACGCCTGAAGTGAACCCCCAGCAAACTGAGGCAGCCCTACAGAAGAGGGACCTGACTACTTAAAGAAAAACAAGCAAGCAGAAACTGACAACAGTGTCAACAACAACAACAAAAAAGGCCCTCAGAAAAACCCCATCCAAGAGCCAGCAGCCTCAAAACTGAAGCTAGACAAACTCACAAAGATGAGAAAGAATCAATGAAAAAATGCTGAAAACCCAAAAGGCCAGAGTACCTCTTCTCCTCCAAATGATCACAACATCTCTCCATCAAGGCCACAGAACTGGATGGAGGATCAGTTGGACAAACTGACAGAAGTAGGCTTCAGAAGATGGCTAATAAAAAACTACAATGAACTAAAGGAACATGTTCTAACCCAATGCAAAGAAGCTAAGAACCTTGATAAAAGGTTAGAATAAGGGAGGAGACCACCCCTCATATTGTCTTATGCCCAATTTCTGCCTCAAAAGAAAGAGTAAAAACTAAAAGCCAGAAATGAAATCCACAGGCAGACAGCCCGGTGCCACACCCTGGGCCTGGTAGTTAAAGATCGACCCCTGACCTAACCGGTTGTGTTATCTATAGATTCTAGACATTGCATAGAAAAGCACTGTGAAAATCCCTGTCCTGTTCTGTTCCGTTCTGATTACCAGTGCATGCAGCCCCCAGTCACATACCCCCTGCTTGCTCAATCAATCACGACCTTCTCACGCAGACCCCCTTAGAGTTGTGAGCCCTTAAAAGGGACGGAATTGCTCACTCAGGGAGCTTGGCTTTTGAGACGCAAGTCTGCTGAAGTTCCCAGCTGAATAAAGCTCCTTCCCTCTTTAACCCGGTGTCTGAGGAGTTTTGTCTGTGGCTCCTCCTGCTACAAAAGGAATTGCTAACTAGAATAACCAGTTTAGAGAAGAACACAAATGACCTGGTGGACCTGAAAAACACAGCATGAGAACTTCATGAAGCACACACAAGTATCAACAGCTGAATTGACCAAGTGGAAGAAAGGATATCAGAGTGTGAAGACCACCTTACTGAAATAAGACATTCAGAAAAGATGAAGACTGCCTTACTGAAATAAGACATGCAGACAAGAAGAGAGAAAAAAAAATGAAAAAGAATTAACAAAGCCTCCAAGGAATAAGGGACTTCATAAAAAGACTGAACTTATGATTGACTGGAGTACCAGCAGGAGACAGGGAGAATGGAAACAAACTGGAAAACACACTTCAGGATATTAGCCAGGAGAACTTCCCCAACCTAGCAAGACAGGCCAACATGCAAATTCAGGAAATACAGAGAACACCATTAAGATACTCCTCAAGAAGAACAACCCCAAGACACATAATCAGCAAATTCTCCAAGGTCAAAATGAAGGAAATACTGTTAAGGGCAGCCAGATAGAATGGCCAGGTCACCTACAAAGGGAAGCCCATCAGACTAACGGTAGACATCTCAGCAGAAACTACAAGCCAGAAGAGATAGGGAGCCAATATTCAATCAATATTCAATATTCTTTTTTTTTTTTTTTTTTGAGATGGAGTCTCACTCTGTCACCCAGGCTGGGGTGCAGTGGTGCGATCTCAGCTCACTGCAACCTCCACCTCCCAGGTTCAAGCGATTCTCCCACCTCAGCCTCCCAAGTAGCGGGGATTACAGGCATGCACCACCATGCCCGGCAAGTTTTTTGTGTTTAGTAGAGACAGGGTTTCATCATGTTAGTCAGGCTGGCCTCAAACTCCTGACCTCAGGTGACCCACCCACCTCGGCCTCCTAAAGTGCTGGGATTATAGGCATGAGCCACGGCGCCCAGCCTCAACATTCTTAAAGGAAAGAATTTTCAACTCAGAATTTCATATTCAGCCAAACTAAGTTTCATAAGTGAAGGAGAAATAAAATCCTTTCCAGACAAATGCTGAAGGATTTCGTTACTACCAGGCCCGTGCTGCAAGAGCTCCTGAAAGAAGCACTAAATACGGAAAGAAAAAACTGGTACCAGCCACTGCAAAAACACACCAAAATATAAAGACCAATGACACTATGAAGAAACTGCATCAACTAATGGGCAAAATAACAAAATAGCATCACGACAACAGGATCAAATTCACACATAATAATAATAACCTTAAATGTAAATGGGCTAAAAGCCCCAATTAAAAGACTTGGACTGGCAAATTGGATAACGAGTCAAGACTCATCAGTGTGCTGTATTCAGGAGACCTATCTTATGTGCAAAGACACACATAGGTTCAATATAAAGGGATGAAGGAATATTTACCAAGCAAATGTAAAGCAAAAAAAAGGCAGGGATTGCAATCCTAGTCTCTGACAAAACAGACTTGAAACCAACAAAGATCAAAAAAGACAAAAAAGGGCACTGCATAATGGTAAAGGGAACTATTCAACAGGAAGAGCTAACTATTCTAAATATATATGCACCCAATACAGGAGCACCCAGATGCATAAAACAAGTTCTTACAGACCTACAAAGGGAATTACACTCCTGTGTAATAATAGTATGAGATTTTAACACCCCACTGTCAGTATTAGATCAATGAGACAGAAAATTAGCAAGGATATCCAGGACTTGAACTCAGCTCTGGATCAAGTGACCTAGTAGATGTCTAAAGAACTCTCTACCACAAATCAATAGAATATACATTCTTCTCAGTGCCACATGGCACTTATTCTCAAATCAACCACATAATTGGAAGTAAGACACTTCTTAGCAAATGCAAATGAACTGAAATCATAATAGTCTCTCGGACCACAGTGCAATCAAATTAGAACTCAGGATTAAGAAACTCACTCCAAACCACACGATTTCATGGAAATCAAAAAACCTGCTCCTGAATGACTGCTAGGTAAATAATAAAATTAAAGCAGAAATCAAGAAGTTCTTTGAAACCAATGAGAACAAAGAGACAATGTACCAGAATCTCTGGGACACAGCTAAAACAATGTTAAGAGGAAAAATCATAGTACTAAATGCCTACATCAGAAAGCTAGAAGCAAGAGCAAACTATTCCAAAAGCTAGCAGAAGACAAGAAAGAACTAAGATAAGAACTGAAGAAGACAGAGACACAAAAAACCCTCCAAAAAAATCAACAAACCCAGGAGCTGGTTATTTGAAATAATTAACAAAATAGACCACTAGCTAGACTAATAAGAGAGAGAAGAATCAAAAAGATACAATAAAAAATGATAAAGGGAGTTATCACCACTGACCCCACAGAAATAAAAACTACCATCAGAGAATACTATAAACACTCAATGCAAATAAACTAGAAAATCTAGAAGAAATGGATAAATTCTTGGACTCCTACCAAGACTAACCCAGGAAGACGTCACATCCCTAAGTAGACCAATAACAAGCTCTGAAATTGAGGCAGTAATTAATAGCCTACCAATCAAAAAAAGCCCAGGACCAGATGGATTCACAGCAGAATTTTACCAGAAATACAAAGAGGAGCAGATACCATTCCTTCTGAAACTATTCCAAACAATTGAAAAGGAAGGACTCCTCCCTAACTCGTTTTATAAGGCTAGCATCATCCTGATACCAAAACCTGGCAGAGACACAACAAAAAAAGAAGACTTCAGGCCAATAACCCTGATGAACGTCAATGCAAAAATCCTCAAGAAAATACTGGCAAACTGAATCCAGCAGTACATCAAAAAACTTATTCACCACGATCAAGTTAGCTTCATTACTGGGATGCATGGCTGGTTTAACATGCAAATCAATAAACATAATCCATCAGATAAAGAGAACCAAAGACAAACACCACATGATTCTCTCAATATATGAAGTAAAGGCCTTCAATAAAATTCAACATCCTCTCATGTTAAAAACTCTCAATCAACGAGGTATTGATGGAACATATCTCAAAATAATAAGAGCTATTTATGACAACCCCACAGCCAATATCATACTAAATAGTCAAAAGCTGGAAGTATTCCCTTTGGAAACTGGTATAAGACAAGGATGACCTCTCTCACCACTCCTAAGTTCTGGCCAGGACAATCAGGCAAGAGAAATAAAAGGGTATTAAAATAGGAAGAGAGGAAGTCTGTTTGTAGATGACATAATTTTATATTTGAAAAACCCCATCATCTCAGCCCCAAAACGTTTTGAACTGATAAGCAACTTCAGCAAAGTCTCAGGATACAAAATCCCTGTGCAAAAATCACAAGCATTTGGTTACACCAATAGGCAAGCAGAGAGTCAAATCATGAATGAACTCCCATTCACAATCACTACAAAGAGAATAAAATACCTAGGAGTACAGCTAACAAGGGATGTAAAGGACCTCTTCAAGGAGAACTACAAACCACTGCTCAAGGAAGTAAGAGAGGACACAAACAAATGGAAAAAATTCCATCTTCATGGATAGGAATAATCAGTATCACAAAAATGGCCACACTGCCCAAAGTAATTTACAGATTCAGTGCTATTCCCATCAAACTACCATTGACATTCTTCACAGAATTAGCAAAAACTATTTAAAATTTCATGTGAAATTGGCCAGGCACAGTGGCTCATGCTTGTAATCCCAGCACTTTAGGAGGCCAAGGCGGGTATATCACTTGAGGTCAGGAGCTTGAGACCAGCTTGGCCAACATGGTGAAATTCCATCTCTACTAAAAATACAAAAATTAGCCAGGCGTGGTGGTGTGCACCTATAATCCTTGCTGCTGGGGAGGCTGAGGCAAGAGAATCACTTGATCCCAGGAGTTGGAAGTTGCAGTAAGCCAAGATCATGCCACCGCACTCTAGCCTGGGCAACAGAGTCAGACCCATCTCAAAAAAAAAAAAAAATTATATGGAGTCAAAGAAGACCCAATATACCCAAGACAATCCTAAGCAAAAAGAACAAAGCTGGAGGCATCATGCTACCTGACTTCAAACTATACTACAAGGCTACAGCAGCCAAAATAGCATGCTACTGGTACCAAAACAGATATATAGACCAACGGAGCAGAACAGAGACCTCAGAAATACCACCACACATCTAAAACCATCTGATCCTCGACAAACCTGACAAAAACAAGCAATGAAGAAAGGATCTCTGATTCAGTAAATGGTGCTAGGAAAACTAGCCAGCCATATGCAGAAAATGGAAACTGGACTGCTTCCTTATACCAAAATTAACTCAAGATGGGTTGAAGATTTAAATGTAAAATCCAAAACCATAAAAACCCTAGGAGAAAACCTAGGGAGGCCAGGTGCAGTGGCTCGTGCCTGTAATCCCAGCAGTTTGGGAGGCCAAGGTGGGTGGATCATGAGGTTAGGCATTCGAGATCAGCCTGGCCAACATAGCGAAACCCTGTCTCTACTAAAAATACAAAAAAAAAAAAAAAAAAAAAAAGAAAGAAAACCTAGGGAATATCACTCAGGACATAGGCGTGGGCAACTTCATGGCAAAAATGCCGACAGCAATTGCAACAAAAGCAAAAACTGACAAATTGGATCTAATTAAACTAAAGAGCTTATGCACAGCAAAAGAAACTGTCCTCAGAGTGAACAGGCAACCTACAAAATGGGAGAAAATTTCTGGAATCTATCCATCTGACAAAGGTCTAATATCCAGAATTTACAAGGAACTTAAATATATTTACAAGAAAAAACAAAAAACTCATCAAAAAGTGGGCAAGGGATATGAATAGACACTTCTCAAAAGAAGACATTTATGCATCTAACAAACACATGAACAAAAGCTCAACATCACTGATCATCAGAGAAATGCAAATCAAAACAATGAGATACCATCTCATGCCAGTCAGAATGGTGATTATTAAAAAGTCAGGAAACAATAGATGTTGGTGAGGCTGTGGGGAAATAGGAACGCTTTTACACTGTTGGTGGGAATGTAAATTAGTTCAACCATTGTGGAAGACAGTGTGGCGATTCTTCAAGGATCTAGAACCAGAAATACCATTTGACTCAGCAATCCCATTACTGGGTATATACCCAAAGGAATATAAATCATTCTACTATAAAGACACGTGCACACGTATGTTTATTGCAACATTATTTACAACAGCAAAGACATGGAACCAACCCAAATGCCCATCAATGATAGACTGGATAAAGAAAATGTGGTGTATATATATATGTGTATATATATACCATAGAACACTATGTAGACATAAAAAGGAATGAGATCATGTGCTTTGCAGGGACATGGATGAAGCTGGAAGTCATCATCCTCAGCAAACACAGGAACAGAAAACTAAACACTGCACGTTCTCACTCATAAGTGAGAGCTGAACATTGAGAACACATGGAAACAGAGGGGGAACAACACACACCAGGGGCTGTTGGGGGTTGGGGGGTGAGGGGAGGGAACTTAGAGGACAGGTCAATAGGTGCAGCAAACCACCGCGGCACATGTATACCCATGTAACAAACTCACATGTTCTACACGTATCCCGTTTTCGTTTGTTTTAGAAGAAATAAAACATAAAAATTCTGGACTAATTTAAAATGAACAATTCTCCGATCAATCACATGGCAATTCCTTGCCCCAAGAGTGCAGAGAAAGAAAGGTACATACATAGACCCAAAACTTACTAGAGTAGAAACCCATAAGCACATCTTCATGAACCAGTACATCTGTAGGAAAATTGAAAGTGTAATTGGCAAATTGTTTAAAGCTGAGTGTGAACATGATTGACAGTAACAAATAACTGGAAATGTCAAGCTGGGAACTGCTTAGGGCAAACCTGCCTTCCGTTCTACTCAAAGTTAACCCTCTGCTCACTGAGATCAATGCATATCTGACTGCCTCATTTTGGAGAGGCTAGTCAGAAACTCAAAAGAATGCAACCATTGTCTCTTATCTACCGATGACCTGAAAGCTCCCTCCCGACTTCAAGTTGTCCTGCTTTTGCTTTGAGTTGTCCTGCCTTTCTGGACTGAACCGATGTTCATCTTACATATGTTAATTGATGTCTCATGTCTCCCTAAAATGTGTAAAACCAAGCTGTGCTCCGATCACCCTGGGCACATGTTGTCAGGACCTCCTGGGGTTGTGTCATGGATGCGTGTCCTCAACCTTAGCAAAATAAACTTTCTAAATTACTGAGACCCATCTCAAATTTTCACGGTTCACACCACTATGTAATACCCTTGTTGTTTTAAATCTTTATTGGTTTAAATCTGTTTTGTCAGAAACTAGGATTGTAACCCCTGCTTTTCTGTTTTCCATTTGCTTGGCAGATTTTTCTCCATCTCTTTATTTTGATCCTAGGTCACTGCATGGGTCTCTTGAAGGCAACATACCATCAGGTCTTGCCTTCTTATGGAGCTTGCCATTGTGCGCCTTTTAAGCAGGGCATTTAGCCTGTTTACATTCAAGATTAGTATTAATATGTGTGGATTTGATCCTGTCATGTTGTTAGCTGGTTATTATGCTGACTTGTTTGTGTGGTTGCTTTATAGTGTCACTGATCTGTGTATTTAAGTGTGTTTTTGTATTGGCTGGTAGCAGATTTTTCTTTCTATATTTAGTGCTCCTTTCAAGATCTCTCATAAGGCAGGTCTGGTGGTAATGAACTCCCTCAGCATTTGCTTGTCTGAAAAGGATCTTATTTCCCTTTCACTTAGGAAGCTTAGTTTGGCTGGGTATGAAATTCTTGGTTGAAGATTTTTTTCTTTAAGAATGTTGAATATAGGCCCTGAGTCTTTTCTGGCTTATAGGGTTTCAGCTGAGAGGTCTGCTGTTAGCCTGATGGGGTGACCTTTGTAGGTGACCTGCCCTGTATAGCTGCCTTTAACAGTCTTTCTTTTATTTTGACCATGGAAAATCTGATTATTGTGTGTCTTGGGGATGATTTTATTGTGTAGAATCTTGCAGGGGTTCTCTGGTTTCCCTGAATGTGACTGCTGGCCTCTCTACCAAGGTTGGGGAAGTTTTCGTGGATGATATCCTAGAATGTTTTCCAACTTGTTTGCTTTCTTCCCATCCCTTTCAGGGATGCCAATAATTCATAGATTTGGCCACTTTACAAAATACCATATTGCTCAGAAGTTTTGTTATTTTTTATTCTTTTTAATTTTTCTGACTGTCTTATTTCAGAGAGCCAGTCTTCATGTTCTGAGAGTCTTTCCTCCACTTGGTCTATTCTGCTGTTAATACTTGTGACTGCATTATGAAATTCTTGTAGTGTGTTTTTCTGCTCTGTCAGAACCATCAGGCTCTTTTTTATATCAGTTATCTTGTCTTTCAGCTCCAGTGATTCTTAGTTTTTTTGGATTGGGTTTTGCATTTTCCTGAATCTTGATGATCTTAATTCCTATCCATATTCTAAATTCCATTTGTCATTCCAGCCAGCTCAGCCTGAGTAAGAACCCTTGTTGAAAAACTGGTGTGGTCATCTGGAGGACATACAACACTCTGGCCATTTGAGTTACTGGAGTTCTTTCATTGGTTCTTTCTCATGTCTGCAGGTGGGTGTTCCTGTAACTGCAGTGTAGATTGAGTACAGTCAGTACACTTTTTTTTCTGGATGTCTTCGCAGAGCCAAGGCTTTGTGCAGGGTCTTCATTTGTAGCTGACTTGTCTTTGGTCTCACAGAGGGGAATGCTAGCAAGGTGTTTTTGGTGTTGGAACTTCGGGATGTGATCCAGTAGGTGGTGCTTAGGCATACTGGTTAGTTGGTAGGCTCTTGCTTGGTCATGTGGCTCCCCTATATTTTCTGACAGTTGCAGTCATGCTCCCTCTCAATGTTCTGAAAGTGTGGGCTTCTCTCCCACTTGAATGCTGGCTATAAATTGTGGCTTGGCACTCTTGGGCTGCCCACCACAGCTCTGGGGCACTCTCAGGGCT
The DNA here is from genome assembly GCF_000001405.40 of Homo sapiens. Lineage (NCBI taxonomy): Eukaryota > Metazoa > Chordata > Mammalia > Primates > Hominidae > Homo > Homo sapiens. The sequence goes on from NC_000001.11 coordinate 247,140,973, forward strand.
TATGTTCCTCCCCTGGCTTGGAGGCAGCAGAGGAAGGGACCTTAATAGTGGTTGTGGCCAAAGGTCTTTTGCTTGTCTCCTGGGGGCTCCACCCAAGAGGAGCCGGTTAGCAATTGCTAAGTGCAATCAGCCCAGAACGGAGGGTCTGTGCTGTGGGACCAAGCCCAGGGTTTCCTATCTGGTGACAAGCAGGGGGAGTGGGTGGAACCTGTGGGAGATGAACTGGTCTCCTCTCCTTGGGTCAACTGCAGTTTGTTGTAGGTGTGGATAAGGCACTTATGGTATTTGTTCATTCATTTGTCTGAGGATAGCAAGGGCAGTTCCACTGCAGACAGCGGTAGCAAGGCTTTTGTTTGCTCCTGGGGGCTCCACCTCCAAGAAATGCAGAACCATAGTTACTGGGGGTGTTCAGCTGGTGGGTGGGGCACCTGCACTGCTGGCATAAGCTTGGGGTTCTGCTTGTTGGGGAGCAATGGGATGAAGGCTCACAGGGAGAAAAGACTAGTCTCTCGGTATGGTGGCTGTGGTGGTATGCTGTTAAGCTTGGGTGTAGCTCTCAGGTTCTTTGTTTCTTCCCCAGACCAAAGGCAGCAGGGATAGAACTATTACTGTGGCAATGGCAGAGGGGCTGTCATATGCCTCTGGGAGCCTCTCCATGGGGAAACTCTGGGCCACTACTGGTGGGTATGCTCAGCCATGGGAGAGGTGACTGTTCTGTGTTCATGAGCTGGGGGCCCTACAGCAGCAAAACTGAGAAGACCTGTGATGCCTGCCATAGTGGATCCCCAAGGGTCCGCACTGGGTGCAGCAAGCAGCCCATATCTCAGTCCCCAGGAGACCACCTGCTGCCAGTTCTGAAAAGCCTGGTGACCTCTATGGTAAGTCTGAGGCCATTTATCAAGACCTAGTTCAGACACAAGCACAGTAGGTCCATTCTCTGCTGACCTGGGAGCAGCTCTCTTAGCTTGCCAGCTCTGGGGGCCTCTGTGCTGCAGTGCAGAACTTCTACACCATGGACTCCCAGGTGGCCTGGGTTCCCTGCTGAGGGCTGGGAATCTCAGCCACCCTGACTTGTGCCAGGGTCCAGCCCTGGCTGGAGAAGTCCAGAGCTCCTTCTGGGAGAAAGATAGGACCAGCCCTTTTTTGGACCAAAGGTAACTCAGCCTATCTATAGATGAGATGAAGCTTGACCTGGGGGTCTCCTGACCCTATTCAGCAAAGAAAACAGGTCTGGGAGTGAAAACAAAGACTTGCTGCTTCTCAGATTCTTCTGGATGACCAGCAGTGACAACTTTAGACACACCATGTTAATAACAGAACCTGTGGTGGTTGTAGAAAAGGAATTTGAACAATATACTGAAAATGGTAAACCCAGTTTTCTTTAAGGCTGATTACTGACAAATTTTGTATTTCATATAAGACATCTGATGTCTTTTGGCTGTCTTATGACAGTCATGCATTTCTGTAAATCAGAAAATATTATTAGGGTGTAATCATTCATATATGTTTGTATATTAAAAAGAGTAGCAAAATGAATATATATTTATATCTTCCCCACTTGAACTCAGAAAAGGCTGTAGCTCTTCACTCTCCCAGGCCGAGTCCTCAGAAGATTGATATTCACCAACCTTTAATAGCATTCTCTCTGGAGAAATGCTTCTATTTTTTCAGTTTGATGAAATCACCATGCCATTGTTTTTACTTTTCATTTTCTTACACAGAATCTAAGACAAGGTATATTAAATGCTTAATGATCCTATTCTTCACCTGGCTCATATCATTTACCTAATTTTAAACTTTCTTCTACTCTAAAAATTTCAATTCATCTTATGTATTGTAGAAGATTTTAAATCTAATACAGGTATTGTCTTTTTTTTTTTTTACATATATTCTATTGGCATTTTACACTGGGATCATGGAATATTTCATTATGTAAATTATTTAATTTTTATGTAGAAAAAAGAAAATTATTTTGGTGTTTGTTTTGTTCTTTGCTCTATAATTTCCATTACATACTGATTAGATAATTTTTTGAGTATTTTAAATTTTAGGTAATTATGCATTTTATCCATAAAGAATCTGCATGTGAGAGAGAGAGCTATTTTCTCCTCACTTCTATTTCATCTCCATCCTGACCTCCCCAGAATCCTCAGCTCTTTGTGTAGTTGGATAGCAGTTTATAATTCCAGTAAATGGGCCTAATTCAATAATATACCACAAATCAGTTTGAAACCAGGACATGCCTTCAAGACACACCCAAATGCCTATATATATAATAATACTAAGTTACAATTGATGTAAAAAATAAAATTACAAAAGGATTGTTAAAGTAAATTCAAAGGGACATCAGGCCTAAAAAATCCCTGAGGAAATGTGTGATCAGAGGCTTTCCCAGGCACACACTGCTCTACAGCCCTACCACACAGGCTTAACCGAGAATTTGACCCCGGAAGGTGACGGATGAACATGTGTCCTGGTATTCTGATCTACAGAAATCCTGCCCTCTCTTAATGATCCATCCAGAGCTCTAGGATCGTTTCTAGATTTATTTACTACACACAGACTGGAAGTTTTTGACAGAAGCTTTGAACTGGGAACCCTACCCTGTTCCACCAGCTTCTCTAGAAGTACAATGTTCTAATTACTCCTGAGAGACTCCATCTGAGGGTAACTCTCTGAGCCAACAAGATTTAAAGTGAGAAGAGGAAAAAGGCAAGAGTCGGGCTATGTCTAGGATTCCCTTACCTGACTTATGTCTTTGGTTTACCCAAGTATTGATAAGATTCGTCTCTAGATGGTAGAAACTAGATGGAGGAGCACTAGCTCACAGAAGTAGACAATGGGATCAGTGCTCCATAGATCCAGCTTAAGCTCAGCCATGAGATACTAAGTCTCTCAGAAAAAAAAGTAACAGTTCTCCATCATCTACCCCCGTAGCCTCAGACAGCTAGGCAGTAAGCATGCATGCTCAATAAAACTCCACATCCACATCACAGAGAGAGATAGAACAATCCCAAAGGACCGTGAAGGGTGATGTGGAGAGACCAAAAGGATATGAACCCACAGCATCTGCCCTACCATCTGCTCCAATACTAACCCTGTCCTTTCCCAACATGATTTCCAGATTTTTCTTTGGCCCTCACTAAGGGTGATTCAGAAAGACAAAAAGTTATTAATGCCCTTCCATTCTCCATATCTCCTGAGGTCTCAGTTGTTTACTCTGCGGGTTTCGGGTAGCTATCCCTCCCCAACTACATCCACAAAATTAGTGTATCTCATTCAGCACCAAGAATTTCACCTTTATTCTGGTCACTCCCTACCTTCTCCTAGACATTTTATCTAGAAAAGCCAGATGAAATAGCGACAAAAATGTTTACATAAAACTCAACCACAACTAAGTTGGAGTATCATAATCCCACTTTGGGCTAGGTTGCCACTCAGCCTACTACAAACTAGGCTTGGGGCAGTTAGGGGAAAGCTAGGGTTTAGAGCTGATGTGAAAGTCAGCTAAAAGCTTGCTACCGAGCCCCTGTCAAGCTGAATCCTAACCCAAGGAGGACTGAGGGCTGCGTAGCTTTATATTCCACTTTTGAGGTGGGTGTCAGCTAAAAGCTTGCTACAGAGCTCCTGTCAAGCTGAATCCTAACCCAAGGAGGACTGAGGGCTGTGTGGCTTTATATTCCACTTTTGAGGTGGGTCAATTTGAACTCTCTGAAAGCCCGCAAAAGACTAGCTCTAAACCCTAGTCTAGTACAAACTAAGCTAGGGTTGCATTTAGCGGAAAGGAAGATTATCTTTTCTTTCTTTCTTTTTTTTTTTTTGAGACAGAGTCTCGCTCTGTCTCCCAGGCTGGAGTGCAGTGGCCCGATCTCAGCTCAATGCAACCTCCGCCTCCCAGGTTCAAGCAATTCTCCTGCCTCAGCCTCCTGAGTAGCTGGGACTACAGGCGTTCGCCACCATGCCTGGCTAATTTTTGTATTTTTAGTAGAACCGGGGTTTCACCATATTGGCCAGGCCGGTCTCGAACTCCTGACCTTGTGATCCACCCGCCTCGGCCTCCCAAAGTGCTGGGATTACAGGCGTGGGCCACTGCGCCTGGCCAGTGAGATGCATCTTTTCAGGTAGTCAGTGTGGAATCTCAAATTTGGGAAACAGATCTCTACAGCTCTCAACCATTTCATTCTTATCCTGGAGGCAGTCAAAAAGAGATTATTCCTTTTTAGAAAGAATTACATTCAGTCAACAAATTGTAACATATGGATCAGGAGAAGGAAAAGATGGTAAAATCAGCCAATTTTTAGTAGATTTGATGATAAAAGACACAACGTTGTCAGAGTGCAAATGGTTCTGAAATTTGAAAAGGTGACAGAGATTAGTTTCAAGGGACACATGGTGTGTCTGGAGTCAGTTTTTATGTTGATGGTGTGAGCAGTGACAAGGTATTAACAATACCTTCCAAAGTGAGTCAAAAGGTCGGTGAAGTCATTCTATTGAGAACGGTCGGGGGCCTCCCACACTGTGAGACAAAAAGATCACCTTTCACCAAGAACCACAAGTCTGGCTGCAGTGCTGCCCTCAGCATTAGACATGGATTCAGATTCAATCCACAGCCTGGTTATAGTCAGTCTCTTCAGAGAACAGGCTCTTATTAAAAACTTCTGTTTTTTTTTTTTTTGACGGAGTTTCACTCCTGTCGCCCAAGCTGGAGTGCAGTGGTGCATTCTCGGCACAGTGCAACCTCTGTCTCCTGGGTTCAAGCGATTCTCCTGCTTCAGCCTCCCGAGTAGCTGGGATTACAGGCGCCTACCACCATGCTTGGCTAATTTTTGTATTTTTAGAAGAGACAGGGTTTCACCATGTTGGCCAACTCAAACTCCTGACCTCAGGTGATCCACCAGCCTCAGCCTCCCAAAGTGCTGGGATTACAGGCGTGAGCCACTGCGCCCGGCCAAAGACTTGTAATTGAGTGACTGGACACAGCAGTAAATCAGCTGCTGAGGTTATTTCCAGTTTGCAGCCTGAAAGGTTTCCTTTTTTCAGACAGTCTATAGTTTTTAATGCAAAAGACCAAACAGCTATAATGTGAGCAATGACCCTGAGTTCTGACCATTGAGTGGTGTGACCACCCCACTCAGGTTCCGCATGGCTGACACTGAAGTTCAGAAGCCACCATAGACAGTAGCTCAGTGAACACCATGTATTGGTAAAGCAGGGACAGAAATTTAGGGAATACTTAGTGAAGTGGGGGCCCCATAGAGCCAGAAGCTTTGCTTCATATAGTGCAGCAGGGCATAAAATTTCCACCAAAGATAGATTCCGATTTTCCCTTTAGAACTATTTCTGTGCCAGTCCAATTTCCTTCTAGAATACATTATTTATATTTAACAAGTAGTCTTTTGAGGTCTTTCATAAGAGTTCAAATTGACCCACCTCAAAATTGGAATACAAAGCTAGGCAGCCCCCAGCCCTCCTTGAGTTTGGATTCAGTTTGACTGGAGTTCTGTAGCAAGCTTATAACTGACTTTCACATTAGTGTAACCTGCAGTGGTGTCAGGGTGGCTATGAGTCAGACACCCCAAAGAATATCTTTAGGTGCAGGCTCTTTTTGTCAAAGGCCTCAAATGGCAAAGTGATCAAGTTTTTCTTGACTGCTGGAAGAATTAAGCAATGAAAATATGTCCACTTAGCTTCACTAAACCTTATTTGGAAAGCAGAACTCTGGGTTTTTTTCAGGTCTTCTTGTTATTGAGAAAACAGTGCTTACTATCCAATGTGCTAAGAGCCAATACATTGAGTTGTCACTGGATTTTTGTTTTTGAGACAAGCTTTATGTTGAAAGTTCACTCCCAAAGAGACAGGAGTCCCAAGCCCGAATCTGTCTCCCTCTGCTGGCATCAAGGCAGAATTTCTACTAGAACAGGTACCGGGGGGTAGCTTCTGAGGTTAGGAGGTGACTAGCGGATGATAATGGGAGGTCTGGAATGTCCATGGGCATGCCCAGTTATCTCTTCATGCTTCCTCATGGGTCATATGTGCAAATTTGGGGGGAGTTAGTAGGAAACATAGTGGAAATTCAGGCTATGATGTCAGCAAGCTCATTCTGTGCAGAGTCCCATTGGTTCTATTGGTTTAAACCAATTTCAGCTAATTACTTTTATCTCGTAAGTGGAGGGAATTTCAGTGTTTTAGCAAGTTTTTTTTTTTTTTAATTTGCCATCCTGTAAACTCAAGGATTTCTGTTAGTCATTGGCTTAACTTTTTTTTTTTTTTTTGAGTCGGGGTCTTGCTCTGTTGCCCAGGCTGGAGTCCAGTGGCACGATCTCAGCCCACTGCAACCTCCGCTTCCTGGGTTCAAGCCATTCTCCTGCCTCAGCCTCCAGAGTAGCTGGGATTACAGGCATGCACCACCATGCCTGGCTAATTTTTGTATTTTTATTAGAGATGGGGTTTCACCATATTGGCCAGGCTGGTCTCGAACTCCTGACCTCGTGATCCACACGGCTCGGCCTCCCAAAGTGCTGAGATTACAGGCGTGAGCCACTGCGCCTGGCTGCTTCTTTAACTTTTTGAAGCACAGTCTCAATTATCAGCTACATCTACTAGCAGAGAGATATTACTATTCTAGACAGGAGCACTGAGACAGACACCTCTGTCTTTGCAGCTAACAGCTCATGCAGGGTGAACATTTTGCATATCAGAGTGTAAAGGTTCTCATGATAAAGACTGACCTGCCCTCTGTGGCAAATGGAGAATTCTGTCTCTCTCACACTCTTCTACCTGTCTCCCACCCAGACTGGAATAATCCCCTCCGGCACTTAGGGGACAGGGAAGCACAAACACATACAACAAAATTCTAACTGTAAATTTTGGTGTAGAAACACAAGAAGACATTGAGTTAGCCCCAAAGGCCCCACCTCCATTGTTTTGTGACATTTCTGCTTTCATGGTGAACCCTGCCCAAGCCCTGTCAGTGAAGTTTTGGTATCAGCGAGTACATAGAGAGAGAGAGATTCTCTGCTTATAAGCAAGGCACCAACACCCACATTTCCTTTTAGTTTCTAGCAGCCTGTTGACTGCTTTCAGCAAAACCACAAGAACTTACAGTATTTTCTATTTATCCAAAGTGCTCTATCAGCTTTGTGGACTCCTCATTCTTTCCTACTTTGGCTAGGAGAATGAACATATGAGCACATTTAGACTGCTCCTTTCAATTCTCCCTCTCACACAACAACCTCGCTAACAGGTTGGCGAGTGGAGGGATCTTACTCTTACTCAACTCTCATTTGGGTAAGAGAATTTGCTACTTGTTCCAGGAAGCCTTCTCATAAGCCCTGGCCAGGTCTGTGAAGAATCTTTCTACTTTCCTCTTATACCAGGTTATAAGGTTATAGATTTATCAGAATCAATCGCATCATCACCCAAGCTGTCAAAAATGTGAACATTCGTGGATTTTTTTCTATTTGCAAGCCAAAAAATGAAGACTGTCAACTTCATGGATATTAGAAGAAGGCATGAGATTCCTAGGCCTGATGAAAAATATTTGATGGTTCATCACACAAATGGAAGCAAGAGCTCCATATCTGTATCTGTTCCCCACGTCCACTCCAAGTGACAGGGATGATCAAAGAGACCCAACTGGATGCTTTCTGCTCAGTAGATTTTGATCACAGCTGAGGAATCTCAAGGTTAAGAAATCCCAGTGCTTTGGCAGGGCACGGTGGCTCACGCCTGTAATCCCAGCACTTTTGGAGGCCGAGGCGGGCAGATCACGAGGTCAGGAGATTGAGACCATCCTGGCTAACACGGTGAAACCCCGTCTCTACTAAAAATACAAAAAAAAAAAGAAAATTAGCCAGGTGTGGTGGCGGGTACCTGTAGGCCCAGCTACTCTGGAGGCTGAGGCAGGAGAATGGCGTGAACCCAGGAGGTGGAGCTTGCAGTGAGCCGAAATTGTGCCACTGCACTCCAGCCTGGGTGACAGAGTGAGACTCCGTCTCAAAAAAAAGAAAAAAAAAACAAATCCCAGTGCTTTAACATGTGTTTCAAAGAAAACCTTCCAACCACTGCCTCAGAGAAAGGCATAATCTTTATTAAATTGTCCAGGTATTTATTTGGCCTTTGACCTGAAGATACACATCCTTCAAGTCTGTTTCTTTCATTTAAAAAAATCCTGAAAAAGACAGCCCAGAAGAAACGCTTATACAAGATGTGGGAAAATGAAGTGAGAGATCCATGAAGAATTGTCTTCCAAAAGGGAGCAACATTCCCTTACATGTATGAGAATATTGATACAGCCATTATAAAAAACCGTAAGGTGGCTCATCACAATATTAAACTAGAACTACCATATTATCCAGCAAGCCCACTTCTGGGATTATATCCAAAGGAAATAAAATCAGTATCTCAGAGAGACTTCTGCAATCCCAGGTTTATTGCAGCATTTTCCACAATAGCCAAAGACACGGAAACAACCTAAATGCTCATTAATAGATGAATGGATACAGAAATTGTGATACACACACGCAATGAAATATTATTCAGCCATAAAAAAGAATAAAGTCATTTGTGAAAATATGAAGCTGGAGAATATTAAGTAAAATAAGTCAGACACAGAAAGACAAATGTTATATGATCTTACTTATAGATGGAGCTTAAAAACATTGAACTCGTAGAAACAGACTACATAGTGGTTTCCAGGGGCCAGAAGGTAGGGGAAATGGGGAGACATTGCTGAAAAGGTACAAACTTTCAGTTATAAGATGAATAAGTTCTGGCATTCTAATGTACAGCACGGGTGGCAATAGATGTTGTCTCAGTCCCTTCCTGCTGCTTTAACAAAATACCTGACTAGGTAGTTTATACATGACATAAACTCAATTGCTTACAGTTATATAGGCTGGGAAGTGCAAAATCAAGCCATTGGCAGACTGTCTCTGGTGAAGACCTTGGTCTCTGCTTTCAAGATGACATCCTGAATGTTATGTTCACAGACAGCAGAGGGGCAGAAAGGGCAGAACTCACTCCCTCAAGTCCTTTTATGAAGTCATTCATCTCAATGATGAGGGCACAGCCTTTATGACCTCACCACCTCCTAAAGGCCCCCACCTGTTAACACTATTGTTTTGGAGTTTAAAGTTTCAACATGAATTTAGGCGGAGGACAAACTTTTAAGTCACGGCAGATGATACTGATTTTGTAACAATTACCACACAATGTGTATTTGGAGATATCTTGAATATATCCAATATTATCTGTCAACTAATATTTTAAAATTAAACATACAAATAAATAAAATATGAAAATAACTTATCCATTGAGCAAAAAAGGCCCACTGAAGATTTCTGACCAAAACTACCATTGACTCTTTGGTGCTGTGGGGCTGCTGAAAACTGAAAGATGAAGAAAATAACAGAATTATACAGTCTTCACAGAAAAGTCAGCTCTGAGGGTGAGATATTAACTTGGGTGAGACAATGACAGGTGACAGCAAATGAAAAAGAATTCATTATATTTTGTTAGCTTACTGGAAAAAAATAAAATTACTAGTCATAAATCTCAATTCTGAATCAACTGCAAAATCAAATTTTAAATATACATCCTGATTAAAAAAACAAAAACAGCATCTCTGTGGCCTTAAAATAGAGAAAGATTTCTTAAATAAAACAAAAAACATTTAATATGCTGGGGAAAGAACAAATAAAATTCTATTAAAATTAAGACCTTATCAAAATACAGAATAAATTATATTTTGTTAGCTTACTGGAAAAAATGGAATTCCTAGCCACAAAAACACTCAATTATGAATGAATTGCAAAATAAAAATTTAAATATACATCCTCATTTAAAAAACAAAATCTCTGTGGCCTTAAGAGAAATATTTCTTAAATAAAAAATATTTAATATACTGGGAAAAATAACAAATAAAATTTTATTAAAATTAAGAGCTTATTAAAATACAGAAAGAGAGAGACTGAGTGAGAGAGATACCAAAGAAAGGAATCCTATCCAGCTTCATGTAAAGAACCACCATAAATCAAGAAGAAAAAGAGCCCTAAAATAGCGGGAGATGAGCAAAGTAAGTCTTCAAAATAGAGGTTATTCAATAACTAAAAAGTGTGCTGAAATGTTCAAGTCTGTTAGTAATCGGAGAAATGTAAATAAAGCCTGAGACCATCACACAGCAACCAGAAGACTAAATGAAAATGACAGAAAATACCATGTGTTGGGCTGGGCGCGGTGGCTCACGCCTGTAATCCCAGCACTTTGGGAGGTCGAGGCGGGCGGATCATGAGGTCAGGAAATCGAGACCATCCTGGCCAACATGGTGAAACCCCATCTCTACTAAAAATACAAAAAATTAGCCGGGCGTGGTGGCGGGCGCCTGTAGTCCCAGCTACTCGGGAGGCTGAGGCAGGAGAATGGCGTGAACTCGGGAGGCGGAGCTTGCAGGGAGCCGAGATCGCGCCACTGCACTCCAGCCTGGGTGACAGAGTGAGACTCCGTCTCAAAAAAAAAAAAAAAAACCATGTGTTGGCAAGGATGTGGGTACCCTAGGAAATTCACACGTTACTTGTTGGCATGAAAAGTGTTACAAGTAAAAAGTGGTACAATTTTGGAAAACTGGTAATATCACCTACAGCTGAAGAGACGTAAACATACAACACAACAATGTGATTATTACACATGTTCCCAACAGAAATTTGTACATGTTTCACCAATACCAATACATTTTCTGGAATTTACATAGCAGCCCTGTTCCTAATACCCTCAACTAAAACACATGCATATGTGCATCAGCACGGAGTGATTAATTGTCTGATATTCACACAACAGAATTCAATGCTAAAAAAAAAAAACCAAAACAACATGCAGAATTACCGAAAAACTCAAAACAACCTACTGGATTTTAAAAGCCATGTACAAAAGGGCTCCTGCTGCATGATGTTTATATAAAGTATAAAAGAGGAAAGTGACCTATGCTGTTAGAGATCAATATAGTGTCCATCCCTGAGAATAAGTGACTGGGATCACAAGGTGGTATCTGGTGGTATCTTTGGGCTAAAAATGTTCCCCACCCCCCGCTTTTTTTTTTTTTAAGATCTAAAAAGCCTCAGACAAAACTGTCCCCAATATTTAAAACTATATGGTGCTATCCACTTAGGACATGTGCATGTATCTTTAAATATTTTAAATACATGTAAGAATTTTTGTTTTAAGTTGAAGGATGCTAAATAGAGTATTGCTGCCCACAGGGCACAGGTATTAAGTTGCTTGACACTGCGACAGTGTTTAAAAGTAAGCTACAATTTCTAGGTTAAAAACAAAAATAAAACAAAATATAAATAAATATAATAAATAACTATATATGTAATTATATATATATGAGGGAAAAGTAGAATTCTATTAAAATTTAGTACAAAAGATAAAAAGAAAACAGAGTAGGTATTGTGAACGCAGCAACGCAATAAACCCAGTCCCAAATATATCCATTATAATATTCAACAAAATAGACTAATTATTCCTATTAAAGACAAATATTACCTGATTGTATATAGTTGGATAAATTAACCACGAATTACCTAGTACAGTGATATGTTAAATATAATAGACTTTATGGTAAATCATTGTCATTGTAATTACTATTGCTTTTACATTCTTAATGTGCAATTTTTCAGGATTACTGCTTGATAGATAAGCATAATCTGGGTGTCACACAGAAAAACAATCACACCGTTATGTCCAGATAATGTATTTATGTATGTGAGTATATACTGTCAGTTTCTTGTAATGTTACTATTTTGTAATTATGTTTACAGTTCTATGGAGATGAGTGAATAAACATATGAGCACTGAACAAACATATACAACCCATGTACTTCTGAGAAGATTAAGGGATTTTAAAATTACTTATCTAGCTTTGGGAGGCCAAGGCGGGCGGATCACGAGGTCAGGAGATCAAGACCATCCTGGCTAACACGGTGAAACTCCAACTCTACTAAAAATACAAAAAATTAGCTGGGTGTGCTGACGGGCACCTGTAGTTCCAGCTACTCGGGAGGCTGAGGCAGGAGAATCGCTTGAACCCGGGAGGTGGAGGTTGCAGTAAGCTGAGATTGCGCCACTGCACTCCAGCCTGGGCAACAGAGTGAGACTCCATCTCAAAAAAAAAAAAAAGGTCAAATAAAATCCAATACTCTGCACTGACCATTAGTTTCACCCTTAGAAATGTTACTTGATTTTTTTCAATTATTAAAAGGTTTCCAACATGTAAATGTACACCAGTTAAAGTGTCCCTGCAATGTATTCATCACTGTTGTGATGAGCAGCCATGTAGTAACTTTCTATTCTTCACAAATCTGTGAGGTAGGTGCTGCCATTATCAGGATGAGAACTTAAACATCGAGAGGGTAAGTCATTTGTCTAAATTCAGACACTGGACAGGAGTAGAGTGGGGACTTGATCCTGTCTGGACTGAAGTCACGGAGTGCCTTTAACTGACATGCTCTATTATGATTGGTGAGTCATCTGCTATTAGATTTCTGGATGTGAGCACATCACATAACTAGTCTTTTCCTTTCTTGCTGTAACAATTGCCTTATAACATTTCGGATTTCTACTCATGTAAAGTTACAGGTTTCAGGTACTATCTCTACCTGGAAACAGACAGTGTAGACCATCTGTGTGATTAAGGGAAAGAGTTCAGAACCCCAGCAACCCACAGTGGAGAAAACCACCTAAGCCTCCAGTGAGGGCTACTAAATCTTGCTGAAGTTAGCGTCCATAAGAAGGTCATTTTGTCTAAGTTCATCAAGTCTTGTGGTCACAGGATTATATCTTTAGAATGCTGGTGAGCAGCCATGCTAACGAAAGCCCCCTTTGGCTAGGAGTTTAGTACTGGGAGGGGTACTGGGAGAGGATAATATAAAGTGATTATTTCCCTTGTCTTTGCTCATCTGCACCTAAATCATGAGGATCTATGGATATGCACCTCATCAGAAGAGTGCACATAACAGCAGCAAGAGAAAAAGCAGCACAGAAAACACAAGGTCACTATGCTTTCCTACACAACAATCACTTGTCAGGCAACTGTCTGAGATACCTAATTCTCCCCAGAGTGGATGTCTCCTTGTACACGCATATGTGTGACACACACACACACACAGATATAAGTTGGCTCCGTGTCCCCACCCAAATCTCACCTTGACTTGTAATAATTCCCACGTGTCAAGGGCAAGACCAGGTGGAGGTAACTGAATCATGGGGACGGTTTCCCCCGTGCTGTTCTCATGATAATGAGTGAGTCTCATGAGATCTGATGGTTTTATAAGAATCTGGCATTTTCCCTGCTTGTACTTCTCCTTCCTGCCACCTTGTGAATTTGTGAAGATGCCTTGCTTCCCCTTCACCTTCTGCCAGGACTGTAAGTTTCCTGAGGCCTCCCTACCATGCTGAACTGGGAGTCAATTAAATCTCTTTCCTTTGTAAATTGCCCAGTCTCAGGAATTTCTTCATAGCAGTTCAAGAATGAACTAATAAACTACATATATATGAAATAACACTATATAGTATATAGCACTATAAACTATGCTAGGGTACTCAAATTTCTTTCAATATAGATGCAAAATGTCTCAAAAGATGCTACAAAACTGAATTTACCAATATATAAGAAGACTTACACTTCATTACCAAGAGAGATTTAACCCCCCAAAAAAGCAATGTTGTTTTTGCATCTAAAAGTCAATTTGGCTGGGCACAGTGGCTCACATCTGTAATCCCAACACTTTGAGAGGGCAAGGCAGGAGAATCACTTGAGCCCAGGAGTTTGAGACCAGCCTGGGTGACAAAGTTAGACCCAATTTCTTATTTTAGAAAGTCAATTAATGTGATATACCATGTTAACAGAATAAATTTGAAAAACCACAAGATCATTCCAATAGATGCACAAAAACCATGAGAAAAACTTCAACAACACTTGACAATGAAATATTCAATAATAATGAACAGCAGGAAACTTTCTCAACCTGCTTTAAGGAATTTATTTTAAAAACCCTCAGCTAACATCATACATGATGATAAGACTGGATGCTTTCTTTCTCAGATTAGACACAAGACACTGTTCGATCACAGGTCTCTCTCCTTAAACCAATGTTACCTATGCAAATAGCCAAAAATAATGACAATGTAAAGAACAACAGATGAAAATAATAATTCACGTGAGAATATACTCTATAATAAACTTTACATACTTACAAATTGACAGCAACTCTATTAGCAAAGAAAATAGACTCATTTATCAATGGCCAATTAATAACAAAATAATTAAACTACACAGAAGTTAAACCTACAAATACATTTCACACATCTACTGTGTAACCCACAAAATTTTTAAAAAATTTTAAAAATATTTTATACTTTAAATATTTAAAAAATATTTTTTAAAATGGCTATGCAAGAAAAAAGGAAAAGAAATACATTTCAATTTACCCATATAACCAACACACTTTAAAATGGGTAGAAAAAGGAAATTTATTTACCAGCTTAAAAAAGAAGAATACATATTTAACTCTTGTACTACTGCTTGAAGAATACTTACAGAAGTCTTGCCTCAGCTGGGCGTGGTGGCTCACGCCTGTAATCCCAGCACTTTGGGAGGCTGAAGCGGGCGGATCACGAGGTCAGGAGATTGAGACCATCCTGGCTAACACGGTGAAACCCCATCTCTACTAAAAATACAAAAAATTAGCTGGGCATGGTGGCAGGCACCTGTAGTCCCAGCTACTCAGGAGGCTGAGGCAGGAGAATGGCGTGAACCTGGGAGGCAGAGCTTACAGTGAACTGAGATTGTGCCACTGCACACCAGCCTGGGCGACAAAGTGAGACTCCATCTCAAAAAAAAAAAAAAAAGTCTCACCTCAATTTTTTTTTTTTCAAAAGAAGTGAAAATCTATATTCTAGAGACTCTCTTCAAAAATGAGCAACCAATATATTCAATTTATTTATAGCTCCTAAAACATCTCATTCACATAGTGAATTTTCTTGAGAATTGTACTATAATTATTTTCCATAAGGTTTTCCATAATATTTACATTTACAGGATTTATTTCCAGTGGGAGTTTTCACATGACCTTTAAAGTAATTGTTAAAATTCAGAATTTTCTGTATTTCTAGGATTTCAATCTGGTGGGCATTCTTTTATTTATAAGGTCAATCTGGAGTATGTGTTACCATGTGTCTCTGAGTGAGTTATAGGATAAATGAAGGCATTCTCACATTCGATACCTTCATAAAGTTTTTCTCTAGAATGAGTTATGTTATACCATCAAATACCACTGGAACAACTGCAGGCCTTACCACATTTTAAACATTCATATGGATTTTCTTCAGTGAGTCCTTTCAAGTTTTCAAAAAGAAATGGAAAAATTGAATGCTTTACCTTATTGCTTATAGTCATAGGGTTTATCTCCAGTTTGATTCGTTTCATGTATTTGAGGAAATCTGGGAAAATTAAGTACTTTCCTACACCTTACATTCACAGTTTCTCTCAAGTATGTGACTGTTCATGTTTTTGACAAAAACTGTAGTGATTAAAGCCTTTACATTTTTTTACATTTATAGGGCTTTTCTCCAGTATGAGTTTTTTTATGCTTCCAAAGGGTACTAGCACGACTAAAGGCTTTGCCACATTTCTGACATTCATAGGGTTTCTCTCCAGTATGAGTCCTTTCATGGTCACGAAGGGAACTGGAACATCTGAAGCCTTTACCACAATTGTTACATACATAGGGTTTCTGTGCAATATGAGTTTTCTCGTGTTTCTGAAGGGAACTGGCGTATCTGAAGGCTTTCCCACATTGCTTACATGGATAGGGTTCTTCACCAGCATGAGCCTTTATATGTCCTTGCAAGGAACTGAGACAACTGAAAGCTTTGCCACATTCCATGCACACATAAGGTTTCTCTCCAGTGTGAGTTCTTTCATGGTAATGAAGGCAATTGGAGTAACGGAAGGCTTTCCCACAGTGCTTACATTCATAGGGTTTCTCTCCAGTATGAGTTCTTTCATGGTCACGAAGGTGACTGGAACGACTGAAGGCTTTCCCACATTGCTTACATTCATAGCGTTTTTCTCCAGTGTGAATCCTTTTATGTCTATTAAGAGAACGGGAAAAACCTAAGGCTTTCCCACATTCCATACATTCATAGGGTTTCTCTCCAGTGTGATTTCTCTGATGTATCTGAAATGAACTGGGAATATTAAAAACTTTCTCACATATTGTACAACCATAATGTCCATTTCCAGTGTGCATTACTGTGTCTCTGTGAACCCTTGTGACAGAAAGGGAAGTTTTCTGACATTGTTTACATGTACATGGCTTCTTTCCGCATTCCTCACACCCATATGGGTTGTTTCCAGAATGAGATATGATGTGCCTATGAAGGGATGAATGACGTATGAAGAATTTTTCACACACAATGCATTCATGTGGTTTTACTCTAGCAGGAATTTTTTTGTTCAGATTAAAATTTGGCATCTGGAGGTTTTTCTACACTGACTTATTTAATTTTACACAGTATGTCTATCATATGACTTCTGCAAAAAATGACAACCCCATCATTAATGGTTTATTAGTTATTTTCTTTTATTACTAAGTCTGAACTTACACTGCTACCAATATCAGAGAAAGTGCAGGTTTTCTAACATAAACAAATTGAACATAAATGGATTGATTAGTCTACAACATGGCTCCCTCCCCTATAGCTATTAACAATACAGTAATATTCTCATATGCAGTTTCTTAGTATTGAATACAGTTTGGGTATTTTCTCCCTTCAAATTTCATGCTGAAATTTGATCCTCATGTTGGAGGTATGACCTGGTGTGAGGTGCTTGGGTCATGGGAGCAGATTCCACATAAGTGGCACTGTTGTGGTAATGAGTGACTTCTCGCTCTATTAGTTCCTGAAAGATCCGATTGTTAAAAAAAAAAAAAAAATGGTCGGGCATGGTGGCTCACGCCTGTAATCCCAGCACTTTGGGAGGCCAAGGTGGGCAGATCACTTGAGGTCAGGAATTCAAGACCAGCCTGGCCAACATGGTGAAATGCTGTCTCTACTAAAAATACAAAAATTAGCTGGGTGTGGTGGCATGTTCCTGTAATCCCAGCTACTTGGGAGACTGAGTCCGGAGAATCACTTGAACCCGGGAGGCGGAGGTTGCAGTGAGCCAAGACTGCACCACTGCACTCCAGTCTGGATACCAGAGAGAGACTCCATCTCAAACAAAACAAAACAAAACAAAAAAACCCCAAAAACTTTGGCACTTCCTTTCTCTCTCTCTTGCTCCTTCTCTCCCCATGTGACATGTCAGCTCCCCTTCCCCTTCTGCCATGACTGGAAGCTCTCTGAGGTCCTCATCAGAAGCAGATGCTGGCTTTATGCTTCTGATAAAGCCTGCAGAACCATTAGCCAAATAAAACTCTTCCTTATAAATTACTCAGCCTAGGTATTCCTTTATAGCAATGCAAGCAGACTAAAACAATACTGTTTTCAAGTGAACTATTTTGCAAACATTTAACATCCATGTTACATTGAAGTATATATTTTTGGTAAAAACTTTGAGAATAAATTGATGTTGTCTTAATTTATTTTGTTTGCTTGGTTTTTTTTTTTCCCCGAGATGGTGTTTTGCTCTTGTTTCCCTGGCTGGAGTGCAATGGCACAACCTCAGCTCATTGCAACCTCCGCCTCCCAGGTTCAAGCAATTCTCCTGCCTCAGCCTCCCAAACAGCAGGGATTACAGGCATGCACCATCACACTGGGCTAATTTTGTATTTTTAGTAGAGACGGGTTTTTGCCGTGTTGGTCAGGCTGGTCTCAAACTCCTGACCTCAGGTGATCCGCCCACCTCAGCATCCCAAAGTGCTGGGATTACAGGTGTGAGCCACCATGCCTGGCCTTGTTTGCTTTAAACATATGATTATATACTACAATTGACCCCAAGGGGGACTGCTTCCTCTTGTGAGGGCAAATTACCTTAGATTTCTTGAAGAATTTTTGTACTGATCTTCAATGCTCTGGTCTTCCCCTTTGTTTCCTAAAATGTAGACCCAGAAATATATTACAAATTATTTGAAATTATAGAAAAATTACTAGACTCTAGGTGCTATGTTGGGGATATGGTTTGTACCCACCAAAATGAATGCTGTAATTTGGTCATCAATATGGCAACATTGTTTGTGTTATGGGTACAGATTCCTTATTAATAGATTAATGTCCTTGCTTGGGAATGCATGTTTTCTCTTACTCTTGCAAGACTGAATTAGTTGCCAGAGGGCAGGTTGTTATAAAAGCAAGTTTAGCTCCCAAGAATTGCTCTTATTTTCTTGCTGTGATCCCTTTGCACATGCCCACTTGCTTCTGCTTCATGCCCTGAGCTGAAGTAGCATCAGGTCCTTACCAGATGCAACCTTGGACTTTCTAGCCACTAGAATCATAAACCAATATAAAACTATTTTTGTAAATTACCCAGGATCAGGTATTCTGTTATCACAATTAAAAAATAGACTAAGAAACAAGAGTCATTGCACACTGGGTCCATGCCTCATTCACTCATCAAAGTGTTCCCTTTGTACATTCCAAATCATGGAATGACATTGAAAACCATGAAACACTTACTTTCTGATTGACTAAGTGAAGAAATATTGTGATTCTTACCTATGGAAGCCAGATTCCTGAAGGTTTCCTGCATCACGTCTCTATAGAGATTCTTCTGGGAAGGATCCAACAAAGCCCACTCCTCCTGGGTGAAGTTCACAGCCACATCCTCAAAGGCAACCGAGTTCTAAAATATTCCACATTTTTGTAGAGGATGGATGAGACTGAAAGCACTGGAAATCTGTAGTCAATTTATAAGATGTTCATCTGATTCTGTGGCGAACATTTATTCTACTATTTGGTCACTAGAACTATGACTCTGTCTACACTTCCTTTCTCCCACATAGCAGTTCTTTTTTTTTTTTTTTTTTTTTTTTTGAGACGGAGTCTCACTCTGTTGCCAGGCTGGAGTGCAGTGGCACCGTCTCAGCTCACTGCAATCTTCGCCTCGCAGGCTCAAGTGATTCTCCTGCCTCTGCCTCTCAAGTAGCTGGGACTACAGGCACATGTCACCACGCCCAGCTAATTTTTGTATTTTTAGTAGAGACAGGATTTCACCATGTTGGCCAGGATGGCCTCGATCTCTTGACCTCGTGATCTGCCTGTCTTGGCCTCCCAAAGTGCTGGGATAACAGGCGTGAGCCACCGCGCTCAGCCAGCAGTTCTTATGCTAAAGTTGAACTGTTCAGCAAGGCAGCAGCAGAGAAGGAACACCCTTCTTGTTGGTGGGTCCAGGGAGTAATATTTGCTGTTATGATTTTTCTTTATAGCATATACCTGCAGTACATATCATATCAAAGTCTTACTATCTGGTGTGCATAAGAGAGTTAATATGAGCCGTCACAAGACTACTTACCCTTAGAAATACCTGCTACAAAGTTCAACCTTTGCTGGTATGAGGGAACTTACATTTTAAGAGGCATCCCAACAACCTAAGTGATAAAAGTAGCTCACTGTTGCTAAATAGTTTATCTAAACAATCTGGTATTTGCTGAACCCCTGTTTTCCTTCCAAAAGTCTATTATTTTGTTTTATTGTAGCAGTGGTGCCTAGGGGGATCAGCCTCAATAAACAAACAAAAACACACTCTGAGCACTGAGTATCTGATGAGCTTCCCTGGTAGATAATATTTCATATATGATGTCACAACTTTTTAATTGGGAAATTGAGCCCAATCCACGTGGTTACACAAAGAGAAAATGTGTAGAAGCTTATAAGTGCTTCACTCAAGCCCAAATTTAATCAAGAGGTAATTAACACTAATAATCAATATTCAATAATCCAAAAATAATTATTTTACAATTTCTACTGAAAAATGTCAAAGCAGAATAGAATAAGTGAAAAGGCATGCGTTCAAAGAAAAAAACTCAATGTCATCTAGATGTCACCTCTTACAAATGATATTTATGTAAAATTTCATAGATGCCTGAAACAGACTTTCTAGCAGTTCAGCAGAAACTACTTTTCAAAACCTACAGAAATAACAAACGCCTAACAACCGTCAAAGTCTTCTGAATAACAGTGTGATGGTTTGCCTAATACACATCAATGATTTTCAAATATAATATTCAGGGCAGTGTAGTATAAGCAGAGAGATAAAGAACTAGGCCAAGAGAAAGGCATATAGTCTTTAATTAGCTGGAATTGATATGGAAAGCTGACTAATAACAGAGGAGGCATTGTAGGATAGTGAAGGAAGTATCAAGCACTTTAAACATGGAACAAAGCTAACCGGTATTTAATTGGGAAAAAAATGAATTGCATTGACCTCTATTAGTTGGACAATAATCAATTTGTCATATATTCAAAAGTAAAAAGTATAAATAGACCACTTGCAGAAGTCACAGACAAGGTTTTTTTTGACATATGAATAGGAGAAAAGGAGCAAACAATAGAGACTGACAAATTCAAATATATTAAAATTAGGAGAATTAAAAGACAAAAAACAGTAAAATAAAAATCTGCAATACATGCAATATAAAAGAAATTAGTGTGCACAGTAAAAATGAATGAAAACATGATTAAAAAATGGGAAAAAAAAGCAAAAGATACATAACAAGAAAAAAGACCATTTATGGAAAGAGATCCATTTTCTTGGTAATAAAACAGCCAAATAATATGGCATATTACTATAATAATAATAGTAAATAATAGTCCACATTCTTTAGAAGAACAAAAATTAGAGAATCTCAAGTGGTGATTACCACACCAAATAAATACGCAGAAATGAAGGCCAAGGCAGTGGATATACTCCATTGCTATTTCCAGTAATTTGAACTTTACCACAATCTACAGTCCAGTAATTTTTCTCTAATGTCCAGAAAATTTATTGTGCATTATCAGAGTTTATATTCAGCATTCTTAAGGAAAAGAAATTCCAACCATGAATTTCCCATCCAGCCAAAAGAAGCTTCATAATCATTTTCAGACAAGCAACTACTAAGAGAATTTGTTCCCACTAGATCTGCCTTATAAGAGTTCCTAAAGGTAGTGCTAAATATGGAAAGATCATTAACAGCCACCACAAAAACACACGTAAGTACATAGACCAGTGACACTATAAAGCAAGCATACAAACAAGTCTGCATAATAACTAGCTAACGACACAATAACAAGATCAAATCTACACATATGAATAGTAACCTTGAATGTAAATGGGCTAAATGCCCCAATTAAAAGGCAAAATGACAAGCTGGATAGAGAAACAAAACCAATCGTATGCTGTCTTCAAGAGACCCATCTCACATGCAATGACGCCCACACATTCAAAGTAAAGAGATAGAGAAAAATCTACAACACAAATGGAAAACAGAAAAAAGTAAATCTAGGAGCAATAGGCCATACCATATAGCCTAGGTGTGTGGTATATTATGCCATCTAGGTTTGCGTAAGTACACGCTATTATGTTCTCACTATAAAACTGCCTAACAACACATTAAGCAATGTATGACTGTATATCTTTACTTATATATAAAATATATTAACCCTTGGCAAAAAAAAAAAAAAAAGCAGGGATTACTAGTCAAATTTCAGATAAAACAGACTTTAAACCAAAAACAAAAAAAGACACGGGTATTACATATTGGTAAAAGGTTCAATCCAACAAGCAGACCTAACTATCCTAAATACGTATGCACCCAACACAAGAGCACTCAGATTCATACGGCAAATTCTTACACACCTACAAAGAGACTTAACCACAGAGTTAACAGTGGGAGGCTTCAATGCCCCACTGATGGTATTAGATCATAAAGGCAGAAAACTAACAAAGATATTTGAGATCTGAACTCAACACTTCACCAAATGGACCTAATGGACACCTACAGAACTCTTCACCAAAAAACAACAGAATATACATTCTTCTCAGCTGCACATGGCACATACTCTAAAATCAACCACACATTCAGCCATAAAACAATCCTCAACAAATCAAAAGAAAAAAATGAAATTAAGGTAGAAACCAAGAAATTATTTGAAACTAATAAGAACAAACATACAAGAATCTCTGGAACACAGCTAAGGCAGTGTTAAGAGGAAATTTTATAGCACTAAATGCCCACATCAAAAACTTTGAAAAGATCTCAAATTAGCAACCTAACATTACACTTAGAGGAACTAAAGAAACAAGAGCAGACCAACCCCAAAGCTAGCAGAAGACAAAAAAACCAAAATCAGAGATAAATTGAAGAGAGAGAGAAAAAAAAGCAAAAGATCAACAACTTCAGGAGTCAATTTTTTGAAATAAGATAGATTGCTAGCTAGACTAATAAAGAAAAGGAGAGAAGATCCATATAAACACAATCAGAAGTGACAAAAAGGGTATTACCACCAGACTCACAGAAACTAAAAAAAAAAAAAATCCCTCAGAGGCTATTATTACAAACATCTCTATGCATACAGGCTAGAAAACCTAGAAAAACGAATACATTCCTGGAAACAAAAAACCTCCCAAGATTGAACCAGGAAGAAATGGAATCCCTGAACAGAAAAATGAGCTCTGAAATTTAATCAGTAATAATAAACCTATCAAACAGAAAAGCCAGGACCAGATGGTTTCACAGCTAAATTCTACCAGATGTATTAAGAAGAGCTGGTACCATTCCTTCTGAAACTATTCTAAGAAACTAAAGAGGAGAAACTCCTTAACTCATTCTATGACAGCCAGCGTCATCCTGGCAGGCATACAACACATGGCAGGCATACAACAATGAAAAAGAAAACTTCAGGCCAATATCCTTGATGAACATAGATGAAAAATCCACAGATGTAAAATACTAGCAAACCAAATCCAGCACACACCAAAAACCTATTCCACCACCATGATTAAGTAGGCATTATCCCTTGGATGTAACATTTCAATATATACAAGTCAATAAATGTGATTCACAACATAAACAAAACTAAAAACAAAAAAACAACATGATCATCTCAATAGATGCAAAAAAAAGCTTTAAATAAATTTCAACATCCCTTCATGTTAAAAACCCTCAACAAACTAGGCATCGGAGAAACATACTTCAAAATAATAAGAGCTATCTATGAAAAACCCACAGCCAACATCATAGTGAATAGGCAACAGCTGGAAACATTCCTCTTGAGAACTGGAACAAGGCAAGGATGCCCTCTTTTACCACTCCTATTAACATACTACTGAAATAAAATGCATCCAAATAGGAAGACAGGAAATCAAACTTCTCTGTTTGCAAATGATATGATCCTATACCCCCCAAAACCCCACAGTCTCTGTTGAAAAGCTCCTGATAAACAACTTTAGCACAGTTTCAGGACAGAAAATAAATGTACAAAAATTAGGAGCATTTCTATACACGAATAATATCCATGCAGAGAGCCAAATCAGGAAGGCAATCCCATTCACAATAGCCACAAAAAGAATAAAATATCTAGGAATATAGCTAACCAGGAGATGAAAGATCTCTACAATGAGTTACAAGATGCTGCTGGGAAAAAAAAAACAAAACAAAACAAACAGAGATGATACAAATGAATGGAAAAACATTCCATGCTCATTGATAGGAAGAATTAATATTGCTAAAATGGTCCAACTACCCAAAGCAATTTAGATTCAATGCTATTCCTATCAAACTACCAATTACATTGTTCACCAAATTAGATAAAACTATTTTAAAATTCATGTGGAACCAATAAAGATCCCACATAGCCAAGCAAGAAGAACAAAGTTTGGAGGCATCATATTAACCAACTTCAAACTATACTACAAAGCTACTGTAACCAAAACAGCATGGTAATGGTATAAAAACAGACAGACTGATGGAGCAGAATGGAAAGCCCAGAAATAATGCCACACACCTACGACCATCTGATTTTTTTTTTTTTCTTGAGACGGAGTCTTGCTCTGTCACCCAGGCTGGAGTGCAGTGGCACAATCTCGGCTCACTGCAAGCTCCGCTGCCCCGGTTCATGCCATTCTCCTGCCTCAGCCTCCCGAGTAGCTGTGACTACAGGCGCCTGCCACCCCGCCCTGCTAATTTTTTGTATTTTTAGTAGAGACAGGGTTTCACCGTGTTAGCGAGGATGGTCTCGATCTCCTGACCTCATGATCCACCTGCCTCAGCCTCCCAAAGTGCTGGGATTACAGGCGTGAGCCACTGCGCCTGGCCAACCATCTGATTTTTGACAAAATCAACAAAAACAAATAATGAGGAAAGGACTTCCTATTCGATAAATGGTGCTAGGATTACTGGCTAGCCACATGCAGAAGATTGAAACTGGACCCCTTCCTTACACCATATACAAATATAAACTTTAGATGCATTAAAGACTTAAATGTAAAAATTTAAAGATAAAAAAACCCTGGAAGATAACCTAGGAAATACCATTCTGGACATAGGACCTGGCAAGTATTTCATGATGAAGATGCCCAAAGCGACTGCCACAAAAGAAAAAGTTGACAAATGGGACATAATTAAACTAAAGAACTTCTTCACAGCAAAACAAACTAACGGGATTAAACAGAGAACCTACAAAGTGAGAGAAAATATCTGCAAACTATGCATCTAACAAGGGTCTAATATCCAGAATCTGTAAGAAACTTAAATAAATTAACAAGCAAAGAGGAAACAAGAATGAAACATTAAAAAGTGGGCAAAGGACATGAACACTTTTCAAAAGATATACAAACATGAGAAAAATGAACATTATCACTCATCACTAAAGAAATGCAAATTAAAACCACGATGAGATACCATCTTATACCAGTCATAATGCTGTTACTAAAAACTCAAAAAATAGCCTGGGCAGGGTGGTTCATGCCTGTAATCCCAGCAGTTCAGGAGGTTGAGGCAGGAGGATTATTTCAGTCCAGGAGTTCGAGACCAGCTTGGACAATATAGTGAGACATTGTCTCTAAGAAAGAATAAAAAAATTAGCCGGGCCTGTTAGCACATGCCCATAGTCCCAGCTACTCGTGAGGCTGAGGTGGGATGACTGCTTGAGCCCAGGAGGCAGAGGCTGCAGTAAGCCAAAATCGTGCCACTGCACTCCAGCCTGGGTGACAGAGCAAGACACTGCCTCAAAAAAATAATAAAGTGAAAACAAAACAAAACAAAACCAGATGCTGGTAAGGTTGTGGAGAAAAGGGAATGCTTATACACTGCTGGTGGGAATTCAATTCACTCATTTTGGAAAGCAGTGTGGTGATTTCTCAAAGAAATTAAAACAGAACTCCCATTCAACCTAGCAATCCCATTTATTGAGTATATATCCGAAGAAATAGAAATCATTCTACCATAAAGAAATATGCATGCATAGGTTCACTGTAGCATTATTCACAAATGTGTATATACCACATTTTCTTTGTCCAGTCTACTGTTGATGGGCATTTAGGTTGATTCCATGTATTTGCTATTGTGTACATGTACCCCTGAACCTAAAATAAACATTTACAAAATAAGCAGAATACATATACAATAAGAGTAAAACACATATAAAAGAAATCTGTGTCTTAAATCTTATGTAAAAAGTCTCTAAGGGCACACCAGCAAGTTGGATAACATTGATGAGGTGAACAAATGTCTAGAAACACACAGTGTACCAAGAATGAATCATGAAGAATTAGAAAATCTAAACAGACTCACAGTTATATGACATTGATGTAGTAATCAGAACCCCTAAATTGGACAGACACTACAACAAGCTACAAATGTTCTTTATAACTATTAATGCAGAAATCCTCACTTAAATACCAACAAACCATATTTAGCATCATACTAACGCAGAAATCCTCACTTAAGTACTCACAAGCCATATTTAGCAGCACAGTAAAAGGATTATACACCAAAACCAAGTGAGATTTATCCCTAAAATAAAATGGTTCAATATATGAAAAATCAATCAGTGTAATGTATGACATTTGCAAAATGACTGAAATATCGTAGCTATTGCAACGGATGCAGGAAAAGTATTTGGCAAATTATTAAGACCCACTCATGATAAAAATACACAATAAACTAGGACTACAAGGAAACTACAGTATGAAAAACCAGCACTAACATCACCATCAATGCTGAAATACCAAAACAAACAAGCAAAAAAACCCTTTTCTCCCAAGATCAGGAAAGAGCGGTAGAGAACCTCTGCTTTTATCACTCCCATTCAACACAGTATTGGAAATCCTGGCCACAGTGATCGGGCAAGGTTGCTGTACAGATTTAGCATTAATGTGCCAAATGCAGGCAACAGAAAACAGCACAGACTTACCCACTCTAACAAATTCTTCATCCTGCAGGAAACAAACTGATGTTTTGGTTAATTTTTGTAATTCACCAATTTATGTACCACACTTTTGTGTGTGGAAATGTATTCACTTTCTGTAATCATAAAGGAAGAGAGATTTTTCCTATTTCTCTTCCCTGGTAGCATTCCTGATTAAAAGCCCTAGAATTTCATTTGAAACTACCCAAAAGAAGAGACGAGACCTCAAAAAGTTACCACATACACTCAGGGGAATGAAAATAAAATATATCAAAAAAACTCTTCTAAACATTGGCTTGGGCAAAGAACTCATGACCAAGAACCCAAAAGCAAATGCACAAAAACAAAAATGAACAAATGGCACCTAATTAAATTAAAAAGCTTCTGCACAACAAAAGAAATAATCAGCAGAGTAAACAGACAACCCACAGAGTGGGAGAAAATCTTCACCAACTATGCATCCTACAAAGGACTAATATCCAGAATTCACAAAAAACTCAAATCAGCAAGAAAAAATTCCATCAAAAAAGTAGGCAAAGGACATGAATAGTTCTCAAAAGAAGATATACAAATAGCCAATAAATATGAAAAAATGCTCAACATCACTATCAGGGAAATGCAAATTAAAACCATAATGAGATACCACCTTACTCCTGTAAGAATGGCCATAATCATAAAATAAAAAACAATAGATGCTGGGATGCTGGTGTGGATGTGGTGAACAGGGAACACTTCTACACTGCTGATGGGAGTGTCAACTAGTACAACCGCCATGGAAAACAGTATGAAGATTCCTTAAAGAACTAAAAGTAGAACTACCATTCAATCCAGCAATGCCACTACTGGGTATGTACCCAAAGGAAAAGAAGTCATTATATGAAAAAAACACGGCTGGGCGTGGTGGCTCATGCCTGCAATCCCAGCACTTTGGGAGGCTGAGGCAGGTGGATAACCTGACATCAGGAGTTCGATACCAGCCTGGCCAACATGGCAAAACCCTGTCTCTACTAAAAATACAAAAAAAATTTAGCTGGGCGTGATGGTGCATGCCTGTAGTCCCAGCTACTTGGGAGGCTAAGGCATGAGAATCCCTTGAACCCAGGCGACGGAAGGTTGTAGTGAGCCAAGATCGTGCCACTGCACTACAGCCTGGGTAACAGAGTGAGACTCTGTCTCAATTAAAAAACAAACAAACAAAAACACTTGCACACGCATGTTAACAGTAGCACAATTTGCCACTGCAAAAATATGAAACAAACCTAAAATGCCCATCAACCAATGAGGGGATAAAGAAAATGTGGTGGAATACTACTCAGCCATAAAAAGGAATGAAATAATGGGCTTTGCAGCAACTTGGATGGAAATGGAGGCATTATTCTAAGTGAAGTAACTCAGGAATGGAAAACCAAATATTCTATGTTCTCACTTATAAGTGGGAGCTAAGCTATGAGGTTACAAAGGCATAAGAATGATATAATGGACCTTGGTGATTTGGGGGCAAGGGTGGGAGGGGGTGAGACTGCATATTGGGTACAGCGTACACTGATAAGGTGACAGGACCAAAATCTCAGCAATCACCACTAGAGAGCTTATCCTTGTAACCAAAAACCACCTGCTACCCCAAATGTATTGATATAACATTAAAAATTTTTTTAATTAAAAAACTAAATATATATATAAAGTGGATTTAAAATATCTACATATATTTAAAATATCCACTTCTTTCTTTGCCTCTTTGTAAATATTTTATCTTTAAAGCTCTATTGATGAAATACATTTTATGTTTACCTAAGGCACCAATAAATGAACAAAGCTTTGCAAGAGGACAGCCCAGGGAGGAGCAGCGCTAACTGGAACACAGATATGTTTGACTCACATGTCAAGTAAGACCATCTCTCAAGCAGGAGATTCCCTGGTCCCCGGTCTCCTCATTGGAGAGACCACGTACTCAAGGACCAACCTCCCAGCGCAATGCACTGTGGCCCACTGTGTGCCTAAGGTGCAGTTTGCTTGGCAGGTTTTTGTGTCATCTTCCTGGGAAGAAATTTTCTTGTTCTTTAAGGTTGTTTTTCTCCCTTCACAAGTGTGAAAGAATCCAGAGGGCAGGAATCATTTCTGTCTCTCCCTCAAAATACCAGCATTGGATTGGATGACACCAGTGTCTCTCCCAGTGTCCCCACTGTGTCCTCCCACCCCATCCTGCTCAGGGAAGTACTCAATGCCCACCCTCCCCCAGAAACCTGTGCCGTGTCCCCACTGTGCCCCAAATGCATTTTGCTTTTCAGGTTCCTGCCTCACTGCGGGGCGGGGTTTCCTTGTACTTTGGAATAGCTGTTCTCCCTTCACAAGCATGAGACAATCCAGAGGGCAGAAATTCTTTCTTCCCTCAATACCAGTATCCGACTGCCTGACCAGCATTTTGTCTCTAAGGAGTGATAACGGGGGTAAGAGAAGAAAAAAAAATCTAAGTCCTAGTGGATTAGCTTTTTAGAGGAAGAGTATAGAAGAGTATCCCAGGAGACTCCTCTCGGTCCCAGGGGATTCATGCCATCCAGCTGCTCCTCTGAGAGGCTCCACCCCTAAACCTCACCTTGTCTTCTGGGAGAAGAGGACCCAACAGCTGACATTCACTATTTATGACACTCCAAGAGACAGGGCCAGTGTGGGCACATTAGGTCATCCTCAAACAGTTTTGAACCCAGGACCCAGAAAAGACAGGAGGGTGGCTGAGGACACAACACCACGTGAAGGTTCCAAAGGGAAACCTCCATCCAAAGACGTTTGTGAGTGTGCCTAGGGAAGACAAAAGGAGGAGAGGTACAAAGAATTTTTTATAGTGGACTAGATCAGGTGATTATTCTCTGTTTTCACAAGGAATGTTCAGAAACAGCTCCTCACTGCTCAGTGAAAACATGATAAACAATTACATTACTGCATCTGGTTCAAATGCACAATAAAGAACAAATAATTAATAATGTTGTAAATTGGAGAGGTGAAGTTGGAGTTTGAGAGTATGAGGAAGAAACTGGAAATTTAGAATTTTACTGCAAGTTCTAGAAGTTAGGCTGGGGAATACGGTCATGGATTTGAGACCCTGCTTGCCTTACATTTGGGAAATGCAGGGGAAACCAGTACCCTTGTGGAAATAATTAAATAGGAAGAAATTAGACTGAAGTTGTAGCAGGGCAAGCTGCAGACAAAACCCCTCAGACACCGAGTTAAAGAAGGAAGGGCTTCATTCTGCCGGAAGCTTTGGCAAGACTCACGTCTCCAAAAACCCAGCTCCCCAAGTGAGCAATTCCTGTCCCTTTTAAGGGCTTACAACTCTAAGGGGGTCCACGTGAGAGGGTCGTGATCGATTGACCAAGCAGGGGGTACATAACTGGGGGCTGCATGCACCGGCAATCAGAACGGAACAGAACAGGACAGGGATTTTCACAGTGCTTTTCCATACAATGTCTGGAATCTATAGATAACACAACCGGTCAGGTCAAGGGTCAATCTGTAACCAGGCCCAGGACGCGGCGCCGGGCTGTCTGCCTGTGGATTTCATTTCTGCCTTTTAGTTTTTACTTCTTCTTTCTTTGGAGGCAGAAATTGGGCATAAGACAATATGAGGGGTGGTCTCCTCCCTTAAGTGATGATGGTGCCCTGAGTTCCTCACCAAGAAAACCTAAAGGTACTTCATGCCTTTCTTGTAATTAACTTGAAGGGAAAGAAAACTTAACCCCAAATCAGCAATTTACCTCTGATTACATAACCAGGAACCATCCACCTAAATAATCCGAATAACAGAACTACATAATTATAACCAATCAGTTATTAAATTGGGGTTGCTTTGGGCTGGGCGGGGTAATCCCAGCACTTCGGGAGGTTGAGACCAGAAGTTCAAGACCAGCCTGGGCAACACAGGGAGACCCCCCCCCCGCCCCACCCGATCATTAAAATAAAAAATAAATAAATTTGGTTTGTTTCCTTACACACTTTACAGAAGCCTTTCCATCAAGACCGTCCGGTGGCCCACAAACCAAAAACCGTGGCTGGGTGCTCCCCTACTCATGAATCGCTGTTTGCTCAAACTCTGTAACGCTTTAATTAAACCTCAGTTTAATTTTTAACAGGATTAAGGAGGGACTGGAAACGCCAGTGGCCACAGCTCCTCGCAGGCGCGAGCCCGCACACCGCGCTGGGCCTCTCCCCTGAGGCGCCTCGGGTCTCACTGCAGGATCCCGAGGAGCCGCGGGGCTGCGGGCGCGGGCCGGGGAGGGAAGCTGCTTCGGGCAGGACGGAAGTCGCGGTGCAGAGACGGGACCGGAGCCCGGGGTGCCGCTGCCCGCCCAGCTCTGCCGGGCGCCAGAAAGGACCGAGGGCCGCGCCGCGCCGCGCCAGCAGGGACCCGGGTCCGCCCTCGGGAGCCGACCGCTGGGAGCCCGGGGCCCGGGGCCGCCACAGCCCCTTCCCTTCTCCAGACCCCCGGCGGCGCAACTCACCATTTCCCAGCTTCCGGGGTGTCCCGACATCCTCCCTGCGAATCCCCCAGTACATGCAGGTCACAGGAGGGCCCCGGCTGCGGCAGAGCCTCCTGAACCGCCGAGAGTGAAGGAGAAGCGCAGGGCTACTGACCGAGACACGCACGTGCGGGCACGAGAGACAAAGGCCGGGCACACCCGGAAGCCGCCTCGGGTTTTCTAGCGGAGCGCCGGATTAGGCAGTCCCCGCCCCGGTGCCCCTGATTGGGTAGGGCCTCAGGCCCCGCCCCCTCAGACTCTTAGTGACAGGTGACAGCTCCCGCGCGTGTCTGAATGAGGCAGCGTTCTGGCTACAGCTCTTCTCCAAGAGGGTTTCCTCTCTGGGTTGGGACCCAGCCTTGCCTAGGGGACATTCATTTATATACACTTAACCTTGTATACAATGTTACATTCATTTGTGAATAATATATATGATATTTAAAATAGGAAACAATATAATAATAATTCTTTTAAAATTTCAGACTTATTAACCTTCATGGCCTCTGGTCTTCTGAGGAAGCAGTCTGAGGAGCCCGAGTTTTGAAAAGGGAAGCAATCCTCCAAGGCTGCGATTTCCACAGAAATCACATGTGAGCCACAGGTGTCATTTTAAAATTTCTAGTAGCAACAGAAACGAGGAATAAACAGGTAAAATTGATTGCAATACTTTATTTAACTCAATATATACAAAATATTATAATTTAAATATATGATAAATATAATATTAATGAAGTATTTTTTGTTGTTCTGTTTTTTGGTACTAAATCTTTCAAAGTCACTCTGCGTTTTAAACTTCCAGCATGTACCGATTCAGACCAGCCACATTCTAGGTGCTAAGTAGACCCCTGTGGGCAATGACTGTCACACTGAAGTGCAGTTTTGAGGGCTCTGGTTCCCCTGACCTCAGGGAGTGAAGGGCCCGAACCCCTCTTTTCTGCTAGAGGTGAGGGAATGCCCTCCTTCTGCTAACATCTCTCCTCAGGCCCAAGGGTGGCAGAGACAGTGCCCAGAGAGAGAAGTGGGCTGCAATAAAGAAGTATCTAGAGGGAGTCTACTATTTCCCACCTGCTCTTGCCAGGGGCCCAGCCTCTTCTATAGATAAGACAGTGAAAAAAAGATGAGGGGCCCCAGGAGAAGAAAACCCATGTCTTCAGATTTGTCCACAGCCTTAACCTCAGGACTTTAGATGTAGAGGGAATACATTAAAGACAAACTTCTCATTTTGCAATTTGGCTTTGGCCCTAATGGTCAGGCTGTGGTTTTCTGTTTCCTCCTGTGGTGTGGAATTTAAGTGTGTGAGTTTAAGCACAAATCACATGCATGTCTACGTGCACTTCTGTATGGCTCAACACCGTCTAACCAGAAATCCAACTTTACATAAAGGGAAAAGGAAATCAGTACATACAGGGTGCCTTGTGTTTGCCTGGTAAATTGCAATCAACATGTCATTGAATCCTGGCATCCTGTCTGCACTAGGTGTACGTATTACCTATTGCTTCACAGTAAAATTCCCCAAAACGTATTAGATTGAGCTGGTCCACCTTCTAGGCTGGGCTCAAGTGAGCCATTCTTCTGGTCTCTGCTGGGCCCTTTCAGGCACGTGTGGTCAGCTGCTGGTTGACTAGGCAATGCTGCTTCTGAGGGTGAGCTGCCTGTCAACTGTGGCACTTTGGTTTTCCTCCCTATAGTATCTCATCCTCTAGCAGGCTAACATGGACTTGTTATTATGGAGATGACAGGGTTGTGAAATAAAAAGCAGAAGCATTCAAGAGCTTTTGTGCCTCGGCCCCAAACTGGCACATGGTCATATTCACAGCTTTCTACTGCCAGAGCAAATAAGGCCAGTGAGATTCAAGGTTTGGGAAACAGATTCTGCCTCTCAATGAAAGCAGCTATAAAAGCACATCACAAAGGGCATAAATACAGGAAGGGATGAAGAGTTGCTGCCATTTTTGCAATCAGTATCATGCCTTTTCTTGCAGATGAGGTTTATATAACTTTCCAAGACAAGGAAGTTGTGCAAAGCCTCACAGCTACTAAGAGGCTGGGCTGGGACCAGGATTAACTTTTCGTGACTCCAAAGCCCATGCACCTCTGCAAGCCACACGAATCAAGCAGCTTCTCTAAACCTTTGAAGTCCTGGAAAGTAACTCTTCTGCAATAGAAGCAAGAATCCTGTGAGATTGGGATCCATCTAGTACTCTTCACCATTTGGAACAACTGCCTCCAGAGAATGCTTCTGACACATCTTGGAAGAACGTGGAATAACTTGAGGAAATGGTCGATTTGCTAATTTAGGAAACCAATGTTCGATATTACATATTTTTTATTTCTTTTCATAGGATAAATTTAAAAGCACAGATGACGCACTCCACATGAACGCAAATCCTATTCATCCCTTTTTGTTGTTTGTAGGCTATTTATGATTTTCAACAAAGACTAAATCAAACCACTGTGTCTGAAATAACCTCTTACTCTGAAAGCAAGTGACATGAAAATAGACCTGCTGAGAAAAATTTCTTCCTGCTGCAATTTAACGAAACAGCTGACTACAATTTGAAGCCATTCTTTGATTTTTTTTTTTTTTTTTTTTTTTAAGATGGAGTCTCGCTGTGTCATCCAGGCTGGAGTGCAGTGGTGTGATCTCGGCTCACTGCAAGCTCCGCCTCCCGGGTTCACGCCATTCTCCTGCCTCAGCCTCCCGAGTAGCTGGGACTACAGGCGCCGGCCACCATGCCCGGCTAATTTTTTTGTATTTTTAGTAGAGATGGGGTTTCATCGTGTTAGTCAGGATGGTCTCCATCTCCTGACCTCGTGATCAGCCCGCCTCGGCCTCCCAAAGTGCTGGGATTACAGGCGTGAGCCACCGTGCCCGGCCCATCCTTTGATTTTTAACAAGGCAAGCTTGTTTTCCAAGACCTCAAATAGATCATGTGAGTGTCAGGGCTACTATATTGACTCAGAAGGTGGACCATATCCTCTGTTTGGAGATGGAGTGGTGAGAGGGCCTGCACCAGCATGTGAAGACCTTAGGTCCATAGGTGAGATTCAATCATCAGGTGTGGTGTTTTAGGGTCCTGATGTTTATGCAAAAGTTATGTGTATATTACTAAAGGTAAATTGTAGAACATTACAAATAATCATATATAAACCAAAAATGTCAACTACAATTGTCATTATGCATTATTATTCTAAGTATTTTTACCACAATTAGAAGTAGTAGCAGTTGTTGCTGCTGCCGCTGCTGTTGTAGGAATGGAGATGAAAACATGGAATAAAGCTCTGCTGCCTGGTCATTCTGCTGCTCCTACGGCTGCAGATGTGCTAGTTCTGCGCAGACTTTAGACTTCTGTTGTGAAGCTGTAACTTAAGAGACTTTCAGTGCTCTGCTGTGGCAGGAAAAAAGTTTGAGTCAAGACAGAACAACAATTCTGTGAATTTGAAGGTGGAGGGTAGGATGGTTCTGGGGCGCAGTTGAAGGGGAAGAAGTACACATCACTGAATGAAGGAGTGGAAGCCTATGGTGAATGGCAGGGTTTGGCCATGAAGCAAATCAGATTTGGATTTTACGGACGGTCACTCAGTGAAACTGACACACCTGCAAAGCGGGAAATGGAGGACGAATAAACAGGTGATGTGTTCCAGCAGCAGACAGGAGGGCCTTCTAAGAACACACCTGCTCCTTTACCCAGGACCTCTTCCTACAACTCCAGCAGACATTCTCATGTAGAAACCCACAATGTGATTTCATCACATTCTGACTCCACATTCTGACACCACATTCTGACTCCACATTCTGGCTGGTACAGTATCCTTTTCTCCATTCTCTTATCTTCCCCTTCCTCATTTCATTATTGCACATAAAGCATCTGGGGTAGGCACACAAGCATATTGCTATTTTTGTTTGCTTGTTTGTACTAAATGACATGTGTTGATCCGCAGCCAAATGAGACGGGGCAGAAAAATACTGGCCCCGTGAAGACTGTTTCTCCACCAGTGGCTGCTCACTCAGCTCTTATCTCTGTATTTCAGGACTTAAACAACAATAACAAAAAACCATAATACCCTTGCATAGATTGTTCAATTGGTGAATTTCAATGTTTTTAATATAGCATTGTAAAACCAAAAACAATTTCATAACTTTTTTATCTACGTAGTTGTTACACATAGGGCAAATCTGTATATAGGACTATGTATATAGGACTATATATATACGCGTGTGTGTATGTGTATATATATATAGTCCTATATATAGCATATAGCATATATATTTATATATGTATCTATACTATATACATATGTATGCATGTATACTATATACATATGTATGCATATATACATATATACTATATATACACATATATAGTATATATACACTACATATATACTATACACTACATATATACATTACTATATATGCTATATATATACACTATATATATAATATATATAAACCTATGTATATAGGACTAAATGACACTTGAAAGAATGAATCTCAAATACTTTTCCCTTCAAATCCACTGTCTGTTTAAGTATACATTTTGCATATAATGAAAAAATACATAAAAATTAAAATGTAAGGTTTATCTCACTATCCAGTGTATCAGTTGGACCAAAAATGAGGAAAAAGAGGCATCTTGTCTGCAGGAAGTTCTCAATTCTCCTGGGACCCCCGAACCACCTGCGCCCCCCAAGCAGACCCCGTTCTTGGCCTGTTGCCAGTGGCAGTGCATCCTGATGAGGCTTCCACGTCTTGGCCCAGGAGGCACAGGGAGGGTAGGAGGTTGTCTGTCTCACAGCCAGGCCAATATCCCTGACCCAGGACCCTCTGGAAGAAGATTCCCAAGGTCCCCGTCAGCTTTTGGAAGGGTTATGCCATTCTAGAGAAATTATAAATGTTCTTGGGGGTTGACCCATAGGTGAGCTGGGCATCCCTGTGCTCTTGGGAGCTGGAGCAGGCAGGAGGCCCATCCTCCTGGGCACAGCCGCCATGGCTGCAGACCCAGGCATCTCTGCACTCTGGAGGGCTCAGGAAGGTTCCCCCACCCCCACAGGCTTGGAAGTGCTCGCTCCCACTGTCTGGCTTCTCCTCACTCTTGGCATCCACTCCAATCACAGAGAAAAGGGGAGTCTGGGCCCACGCACCTATCAACCCATCACCTAGGTATTAAGCCCAGCATGCATTAGCCATCTCCTCTTTGACTTTTAACATGAAATTCTCATGATCATTTTATGTTATCAATGACCAGTCATAGGTTTTAAAATGCTGGCTGTTACTTGTGTATAATAACAATGACATTTTTATTAATAAAACAAAACACGGGATACTTTTTTTTCAAAGAACACATTAATTGCATGTAAAATTGCTTGTGGATTTGTGTAAATGGTTTTTCATTCTAGTACACTCCTCTTTTCTTCAGAGGTGTCGATTAAGCTCAAGACTTTATAATCAGTCTTTCGTTTCTTGTTCATTCAATGGTAAATTTTTCCCATCATTATTCATAATTATGTAAATACCTGGGACTTACAATATTTAGAATAGTCCGAGGTGAAAGCCAACATAAGGATGAACTTGATCTGCATTATCTGTTTCCTGAGAGGGCTCGGGAGCTTCACCCTCAGCCCCAGCCACCCATGGCTGTCACTTCTCACAGTGAGGGCTGAGATGTGCATTTAGATTGATCAGTTTTTAATGTATCAGGTAGGACCCAATAGTCCTTTGCACTCTGACCCACCTACAGATAAGCTCTCTGATTATGTTCTTCTATATTGTTTCTCCCAGGTCAGTACCATATTATTGTAAATCCTGTGATTCATAGTGAAGTTGCCAGATTCATCAAGTAAAAAATAGGACAGAAAATTAACTTTAAAATTTAAATAAACGACAAATGACTTTTGAGTGCACAAATATGTCTTTGTCAATGATCAGTAGTTAGATTCTGAGAGATAAATTTCCAAAAGGAATAATGAAAATAATATACTTTAGCTGTCAATTCTAATCCACAGTATTGTGATCCTTCCTTGTGCAGTCTCAACACCAATGACCTCAAGAGACTTGTTAGAGAGAGACTCCATCTGATGATTCAGCAGATAAAGTATTTTTCAGCATGTGATTGTTATTTGTAGAGAGAAGGGTGTGAAATACATGGGGTGAACTAAATATATCTTAAGAGAATAAAACATCAGATTTCCTATTTTATCTCTTTCTGTTATATGGCTTCCATGTGTTTTATTAACAAATTTATATGGACATGTAGTTTATAAATAATTGCACATATATTAATAGTCCACATCCAAGTATTCTTTTACTGGAGCTATAATCCCCAAAAGAGAGACCATTAAGCCTTTAAATCAACGATATCCTGGCTCTTTTCCTGGTTTTATCATGACAGCAAAACCAAGTTGTGCTGAGGGTTAAGGTGCGTGTTCATGGAACTGTCAGTTGTTTGGTTCTGGAAGTGTGTTCCTTTACTAAGATTTTGCAGATGTATTAGCAATCATTTCAACATATGAGGTTGAAATGATTGGCTCATACATATGAGGTTGTTTTAGAGAAATTTTCTACCTTAGCCGTTAATTTCTGAGTAAGAGCCAAAAATACTAATTGTCACCATTTCTGCATTGAGATATCTACATCTACCTAATCTATCACCGATAGCTCCGTACATGGGATGGTATTGTGATAAGTGACCTTTAAAATATAATTGGACAGCTGCCATCTCAGAAAAAAACTGAGCGGTGTGGAATGGTTTTCTAATTTTTTGTATCGTTAAGTTGACTTGTTCTAATCACTGGATTAATTTGATAAAACAATTATGCCTGCACCTTGGCCAGTAACATTAGAGAGTAATTTCAAAATTGCTCAGTGAAATTATGCCAGGTGTTCTGATATTACAGATATCCTAATAAAACTAGAGGGAAAC
Organism: Homo sapiens; assembly: GCF_000001405.40. NCBI lineage: Eukaryota > Metazoa > Chordata > Mammalia > Primates > Hominidae > Homo > Homo sapiens. Next base: position 247,178,789 of record NC_000001.11, read on the forward strand.
TACCTTTATTATTGGAGAAATAAGTGTTTTCAAAGCAAAAGAGGAGATCTCTGTATTAAGTGGAATCTCAAGAAAAGGATCAACATTTGATCCTTTTGATGCGACTTTATGGTTGTCACAAGTGATTACAACTAGTGTTATTCTCTTGACAATTCAGAGCTGGACACTGGGGATCCTCTGTTGAGATGTAGGTAATTTATTTTTGAGATGGAAACTAAACTGAAAGAGAGCCAGAGCCATTTTTATGTGATACAGCTAATAGGGTTTGGTAAGCACAATAATGCCCTCCAAAGGTGTCCATGTTCTAATTCTCAGATACAGCAAATATACATTCCATGGCAATGGGTATGAGAAGTTGCACATGGGATCAAAATTGCTAATTTGTTGGTGAAAAATAAGGATACTATCCTGAATTACTATGGTAGGTTCAAACGTCTAATCATAAAGGTTCAAAATGTGAGAGACGAAGAATTAAAAGCGTTGAAAGATCGGCATGTCAGAAAGACAACTAGATATTATTTTTTTCCATTGTTTTGGTGATTCTTTCCCTATTAGCATAAATTTTATTCAGTTCCACTGTGCACATATGATTGGGTAATTTTATATATTTGTAGCATCGATGTGCTAAATATAAAATAAGAATGCAGAACAAAGATACGATTTCTAAAGAGGGATGCCCAGGTACCATGGGTATCTATACCCAGGAATAGACAGTGCGCATCTTATAAGGGGAAGACTGTGAATGTGTTGGTATTTCATATACTAATTGGTGTAGAAAATGATGCAGAGGCTGGATTATCAAGAATTTATATGAGATAGGGCTTACCAAGATTAAGAGGGCAAAACAATAAAAGTGATTTGTGATAATTTTGACTAATGCAGAATTAACAATGATGAAGTGAGATTTTTGGGGGTTTTTCTGATGTACAAAGCCAATTTCTGGCCAGGTGAAGTAGCTCACACCTGTAATTCTAGTGCTTTTGGAGGCCAAGGCAGGAGAATCACTTTAAAGACAAGCCTGGCAGCATAGCAAGACTCCATCCCCACTACACATTTTTTAACAATTAGCTTCACCTGGAATCCTAGCTGTTTGGGAGACGAAGGCAGGTAGCCACTTGAGCCCAGGGGGCCCAGAACGTAGTGCGTTATTGCACCACCGCACTTCAGCCTGGGTGACAGAGCAAGACCCTGTCTTGAAAAAAAAAAAAGTAAAATATGAAAAATACATAAAGTTCATTATTAAGAACACAATTTTGGTTTATGTAATTACTAAAAAATACCTTCTGTTTTCAAGCTGACATTGCAGTCCCAGTCAACACCTTTCTCCTTTTCTTCTTCATCTTCACACTCCTGGATCACAGGCCGAAGCACACGGACCTGATCACCTGTCACTTGACTTTTGTTCACTCAATGATGCACCCCACTGTAGTGGATTTTTTTCTCTTTAGATGGTGTTTGAGTCACTGAATTTTTGGAAGGACTTCAAATGTCAAGCATTATTCTCCATGAACAGGGTGATGAGGGGTCTGGCCATCACCACCACCTGCCTCCTGAGCATGCTCCAGGCCATCACCATCAGCCCTAGCATCTTGTGGTAGGTGAGACTTAAAAACATAAATTATCTTCCAGTAGTAGCATGATCATCTGCACTGTAGCTTATTTCAGTGTGACCCAGACGAATTCAATTTACCGAGTGTCGGTGACTTCTGCTCACTTTCTCCAATGAGCTCCATCCTCGGGGGACTGATTTTTATTCTAATGTTATTTCAGAATATTTTCTTTTCAGGAATCATGCTGCTGTCCAGTATGTACACGGTCATTCTCTTGTTCAGGCATGAGAGGTGATACCAGAGCCTTCGCAACACCAGCCGCTCCCCAAGAGCCTCCCCAGAGAAAAGGGCCATGCAGACCAGCCTGTGTCTTCTGGTGAGTTGCTCTGTGGTCACATACTCAGTGGACGTTATTACTTCATCCTCCTTAACCATGTGGTGGGTTCATGGCCCAGTCACCCGGGATGTCCAGATGCCTGTGGTCACTCTCTGTGCCACTGTCTGTCCTTTGGTACAAATCATTCCTGACAGAAGAATCATCAATATTCCAAAAAAATATTCTAACAAAGTGCCACCCATTTTTAACAAGGTTGCACTGGGACAAAAATCTTCTGAAGAGAAGTAGATTTTTCTGCCACCAGTTAAACTGTGCAAATGGCACAGAATTTGTTAACTTAAATGCAATGAATTAAATAGCAATTTCATTATATCTAAATAGTTGCTTGATGCTGCCAAAGTCTAATCTTTAGTTCAATGTCCATCAGGGTTTGATATTTCCAAATCAAGTCTCTTACACTTTCTTTTTTTTTGAGATAGAGTCTCGCTCTGTTGCCTGAGCTAGAGTGCAGTGGCATGATCTCGGCTCACTGCAACCTCCGCCTCTTGGGTTCAAGCGATTCTCCTACTTCAGCCTCCCGAGTAGCTGGGATTACAATCACGCACCACCACGCCTGGCTAATTTTTGTATTTTTAGTAGAGACGGGTTTCACTATGTTGGCCAGGCTGGTCTCAATCTCCTGACCTCGTGATCCACCCACCTTGGCCTCCCAAAGTGCTGGGATTACAAGTGTGAGCCACCGCGTCCGGCCACACTTTCATTTTTAATCTTATACATGAAATATTATTTTTCCTTCTTGAAGTACACTTTTAAAAAGCTCCTATTGGTAAACAAATCACTCAGGGTTTTAAAAATATATTTTAATTTACCGTTTTTTGTTAAAGGTATTTTAGCCGAGTATCTACTTCTAGCTTTAATAAATACTTTCTCTTAGCTCCATTCCTATTTATGTTTTGGGTTTTATAAAAGCTGTAGAAATTTTGCTCTCATCTTTGCAACTTACCTCTTTCTCACACTGATTTTTAGTATTTTTCTTCTCTTTGGTGTTATCCAGCTTATTAAAGTAATTTTTTTTTTCACTTTTTGACACACTGCATTTCTGAATTCAAGGATTTATGTTTGGTTTTCAGTTTAGAAACTTACAAACCACCAACTCTTAAAGGCATTATTCAAAAAAAATTTTTTTTTTGAGATGGAGTTTTGCTCTTGTTGCCCAAGCTGGAGTGCAGTGGCGCAATCTTGGCTCACCACGACCTCCACTTCCCAGGTTCAAGCAATTCTCCTGTCTCAGCCTCCCGAGTAGCTGGGATTACAGGCATGCGCCACCACACCTGGCTAATTTTGTATGTTTTAGTAGAGACGGGGTTTCTTCCTGTTGATCAGGCTGGTCTCGAACTCCCGACCTCAGGTGATCTGCCCGCCTCCGCCTCTCAAAGTGCTGGGATTACAGGCGTGAGCCACTGTGCCCAGCCTCAAATTCTTTTAATATATCCCACAAAAAAAGAGATTTGTCCTATTCCTTCTCATTCTAGCATTCTAGTCTTCATAGATATATGTATTTGTTTTATGTTTTCTTTTTTTGAGATGTAGTCTTGGAGTGTCGCCTGGGCTGGAGTGCAATGGTGCAATTTTGGCTCACTACAACCTCCGCCTCACAGGTTCAAGTGATTCTTCTGTCTCAGCCTCTGGAATAGCTGGGATTACAGGCGCCTATCACCATACCCAGCTATTTTTTTGTATTTTTAGTAGAGACAGGGTTTCACTATGATGGCCAGGCTGGTCTGGATCTCCTGACCTCATGATCCGCCCACCTCAGCCTCCCAAAGTGCTGGGATTACAGGCGTGAGCCACCGGGCCTGGCTGTTTTTTTTTTTTTTTTTTTTAACAAATATTTTAGTCTTATTTGTAAATCATTTATACATATTCACACGAAGAAAAATAAATTTCAGAATGGAATCTTGGGACCATTGTAGTTAAAAAAAATATATATATATATATATATTTCTGATCATTAGCCACTTGAAGACAAGGCAAGAGGCTTAGCAGTCATTTCTAGGGGTTAGTGTATCTCCCCATGCAAGGGACAATTGAGAAGAATCCAAGCTGCTCCCTCATCTTCCCTCAATTTTAACCTTCTGGAGACAATATGGGGGAAGGGGATTTTCCAGTGCTTTCCCCTAGAAACATTGCAAGAGGTACAGCCAAGTCTTACGGTAACACTGAACCTGCTCTTTGCTAGCAATTTAGCAAGTTTGCAACCTGTGAACCAACCTACTAGAAGAGTTAGCCTAATTCCTATTCACAGGTACTTCTAAGAGGAGGAGGGATTGCTGCACTCATCACACCCGCTTCCCACTTGCTCTGTTCTCCCACCAAGGCCCCAGAACAGAGCTCTTGATCTCATCTGATCTAGTCCCTCCCCGCTCCCACCCAGCCTCATTTCACAAGTGAACCTTCCTCCCACCCCACACTCAGACAGACACTCTGTAACTGTTGGCCCTGGCAGCTCCTGAGGACTGCTGGGATGATGACACAGCATTTTTGCATCAGCATCGTACTCACAGGGACTCGGAGCTCAGCCAGGAGAGGTCCAAGAATGACGGAACTCTAGAACCCCTACCAAAACTCAGCTCTGCAGAGCCAAATAAACAATTCAACCCAACAGGCCAACTCCTAACATCCCATCCCAGACAGTCATCACTGGAGGCGCGCAGTAGATGAACCTCCTACTTGCACTGAACCATTACCAATTCCCAGTAACAGTGGGGGAAAGGACAGACATGACAAATGTGGTAGACCCTATCAGAAATGGTAGCTGATGACAACAGTTAGCCTAGATCACTGGGTCCTATCCAAAAAGAACGGGCATGATGAGCAGAGGGCTCTGTAGCTGGATGTACAGCCCTTAAATTACTAAGGGACTCAGAGAAAACAAGCCTTGTTTTCCTACGATTATCTAGGAACTGGAACACGGACTACCCACCCCTATGTTGAGGCAGCTTCTGACAGGCCTTACTGCTTACGGTCATCGGTCATCAGCCCACCCGCTTGGTAGGTGCATTTGGGGGGAGGGACTCACATCACATCCAGAGGGGGGACCCATCTAGGCGGACACCACAGGGCAGCCCATCCCACTGTCACTGGGGCAGGCCAAACACGGTTAGCAGGGCGGACTGATTCCAGCCATCAGCCGCCCTACAGGCGTCGCTCTGGCCTAACACAGAATGCGAAATGCAGGGTGCTCCAAGTGTTCTCCGACATGGCACCTCCTTCACCCCGAGGGCCCCGGCTTTTCTTCCACATGTTCAGGGCCTCCAGAAAGTGCTCTGCAGCCTCCCAGTGAGCCCCAGGTTATAGCCTCCCAGTGAGCCCTGCAGCTGATGCCCAGGTTATAGCGGGACTGGATATAGCCAGGCTGGAGCTCAAGGGCCTGGCAGTATGAAGTTACTGCTTCTTCACTCTGGTTTTCCTTCCACAGCAAATAGTCATTGGGATGAACACTGAAGGTAGCTGTGAAGCAGTTCATGGCCTTGTCGTATTCTCCACTCAGGTTGAAAAGGACCTGCAAGCCACACTGCACATCAGGGTCCATGGATGTAGGGTCCAGTTGCACAGTTGCTAGGAAGAGCTCTTTCATTTCAAGAAACAGGGAGTCAGACAACAGAGATCCCAAGATATGCTTGCTGGCGCCCAGTCCTGCCCCGCCAGCCCCTTCTTCAGCAGGTGTCACCAGATAGCCACAGGCTGGTGTGTGGCAGGGTTTCACAGGCCTGTCACTGCAGAGGCTCATTGGTAAAGCCTGCAGCCGGGGCCATCAGTGCTTATCTGGCTTTAGCTCCAGACACCTCTGCAATGCTCTGATGGCTCACAGTTCTTGTTCATTCTCTGCCTGGTTGGTACCCAGATACGGCCAAGCTTCCATGTGCTTAGGATCCTGCTGCATAGCTGCCTCAAAAAGCAGCACAGCATTTGGGAGGGCCCTCTCCTGAAGTCGCTGCAGCCCTTCTTTGAAAGGCTGAGGGTGATCACGCAGGGGGTTCTCCTCCTCCAACGGGTACCCCTTATCATAGGAAGCTGATGCGAGGTCATCATAGCCAGAAAGCCAGGGGTGAGTGTCAGCATCCCGTTTTGCCTTCTCCTCCAACTCTGTCTGCAACTCTACAGCTGACTTGGCGCGTTCAAACTCCCTATCAAGGGCAGCTGTGTTTACTCGTCTTGTGAATGGTCAACCCAGGCATCTGATGTACACTCACAATTAGCCAGTTTGGGGTCATCCCCTTTGGCCACAAAGTCACTGGCCATGTGCTGCACATCCTCCTCAAGATGACATTCATCGTCCAACGACCGGTGGCTGCTGCTCCCTTAGGCTCTCCCAACCACAGTTTCTCCCAATTGCTCCAAATATTCCTCAGCCCAGCAGGTGGGGGAAATGGCCAAGGGGTCTGTAACTTCAGAAATGAATGATTGGGACCAGTCTGTCTCATTATAATCCTGAATTACATCCACAGCATCTCCAGCTGCAAGTCACTCTGGGCCCAGTTCTCAGACAAGGCCAAGTCGGCCACACCAGGGGCTCTCTGGGGAGCCTGGAGGAAGTTTGACTCTTCAGTCTGCTGCATCTCAGCCAGGAGTTCATCCATCTTGAAGGTCTGAGGGGCACGGGATACAAGGGTACACTGTGGTCCTGCAGGAATTCACCCACCAATTCATCTTCAGAAGCTACTCCCAAAGGCTTGGAGACTGCCTCAGAGGCTGGGGCTCGGAGGCGGGGCAGGGGTCAGGCGTCAGGCCTTAGTGCCTTCTGCTGGGGTCGGCGGGTGTTTTCTCTTTTTACTGTATTTAACTACATTAATCGTGCTCAGTATTTCGGTTCACTAATCTCATCAGCTGAGACTAATTTAATATTTAACCCGTATGTTGTATATTAAGTAGGTTGATTCTACTTCCAACTGTTTGTATTTGCCTCTTTTTCAAATATGGCTTGTCAAGCTTGTAGTCATTTGCTCTTTAACATTTTTTTTCCTATTTTTCTCATTGTGTTGACTTAAACATTTAAAAAATAAGTCCTATAACTGTGTGTAACATACGTTTTAATTTTCTATTCACTTATGGGAGACATTACATTTGAGACATCTGCAGTTTATGTCTTTGTTTTTTAAATTTGCCTTATGGCAAGTTGGGCCACCCACACGGATCTGGCAACTCTGATCGCCCATATCTAAGAGGAGCACTTAGTTCTCAGTTGATTATTTTCATAAGTGGTTTCTTTGGTTTGCTTCTCTAGTTGGAAAATTATATTTTACTTTCACTTTCAACGCTATACAGTCCTTTAAAGATTCTTGTAACTTTCTGAGAATTTTAGCTTTCTACATTTAAAATGTGTAGAATCTAGTTTTCCAACAAGCACAAATGTCAAGTGTACACATGAAATACATTTTACACAATTTTTTGTAACAGACAAGAAATCTCGTCACTTTATTTAGAACATATCCTTTCCTCAATATACTGTAAAGTAATAATTTGTAGAGTTTAACTTTAATACTAGGGAACTGATTTTACATTTTGCATAAGTTTCTGAGATAAATGTACTCTACTTCAGAGAACAGTACCTATATATGGCCAAAACTACTTATTTTCTACACCACTGAGAAAATATTGGCAGAATTGGCTAGGCGCGGTGGCTCACGCCTGTAATCCCAACACTTTGGGAGGCCGAGGCGGGCGAATCACGAGGTCAGGGGATCGAGACCATCCTGGCTAGTACGGTGAAACCCCGTCTCTACTAAAAATACAAAAAATTAGCTGGGCGTGGTGGCGGGCGCCTGTAGTCCCAGCTACTCAGGAGGCTGAGGCAGGAGAATGGCGTGAACCCGGGAGGAGCTTGCAAGTGAGTGGAGATCGTGCCACTGCACTCCAGCAACAGAGCGAGACTCCATCTCAAAAAAAAAAAAAGAAAATATTGGCAGAATTACTTACCTGAATTCAGATTTTTGGCTTCAATCACCATGCTTCCTCATTAGCACTTCCCTGAATCCATAAAAGAATCTCTTTGAGTCTTCCATTTGAACCACAGATTAAAAAATTTCAATGCAATTTTCATGTGGTGAGATAGTACTTGCTGGTAACATTTTAGTATATAATTTCTATTGTTATTTACAATGTTCAGAAAATATGACCTGCTGGGTTTCTGGGGTAATAAACTCAATGACGTATTTTAGGCCTAAGACTTTACCACCTAAAATACTTATATCTAATATTTGAAAATAATGCGCATCCTTTGTTTACTGGCAAAAATAGCTGCCGTTTGTTCCTATGCGTAATTACTATAACTTCCTAACAAAGTTAACATTATTTATGTTCATTTAGTTGTGGGGCACCAAAAAGTTAATTTCCATAATGATCTTAATGTTACCTAGTATGAATGAAAATGTGACAGAGGCTAGGAGATGGGGTGAATAAAAAGAGGGGAAATGTTCTTCAAAGTGTACCAAGTTTCACTTAGGAGAAATAAGATTTAGTGATCAATTGCACAGAATGGTGACTACAATGTGTATTTCAAAACTGCTATAAAGACTATTTTCCATGTTTTCACCACAAAAATTATATGAGGTTATAAACATTAACTTGATTTAATCATTTTACAACATAAACATATATCAAAATATTACACTGTAGACAGATATATACAACTATTATTTTTCAATTAAAAATAGAATTTTTTTAAAATTTAATTTTTCTTTTTCAATGAATCTTTGATTTCTTCACTTTAAACTCTTAGGTATTAAGCATACAAATGTTTAATGGCTTAGAATAGTTACCTAACACATTATATGAGCCAAATACTAACTACTCCTCCAAACTATCTTTTTTCATAGCATTCTTCAAATACAAGATTATTCTGTATATCTTATTAAAATTTATTTGTCTGCCTTATCTAAATATTGATAAAAATAGAAGGTAGGGGCATTTGCCTGCTTCATACATTCCAAAATCAAAGGGCAGTTTTACTAATTATTTTTACATTCAGTAACTCATTTGTCTCACACAGTAAACACAAATATTACGTAACAGAACTATATTCATATTCTTCATCCTAAAAATGGAAAAAATTTTGAGTTATTTATTGATTGTAGTACGGGACTCATTCTCTATTTTTTCAAATTATTCCATGTCAAGTGCCTAGAATAATTGTTCATGACATACTATGAAATAAAAAATACCGATAGAGATGGATTACAAAAGTAAACTGAAAAAACATCCTATGAATTGTTTCATTATATATATAATAGAATATACTTATATCCATAGAACAAAAAAATTATATCTTTTTAGATAGAATAGCTGTTATAAACTGCTTAAGTTGTACATTTCATCAACACTTAATGAAAAACATCAATTTCTCACAAAAACTTCAAGCAGTAGAAGAGGTAACATTTCTTAATTCATCTATTAGCCAATAATACCCAAAGGAGACAAAAGAATCACAAGATGATTACGAAACAACATCCTATTTAAATTTAGACACAGAAATTCTCAGAAATATTTAAAAAAAGAATACAAAAAGGTATAAGGATGATTACATACCATGACTAAGCAGGGTATTTTCACAATGCAATGTTCATTTAATATGATACAATATTACTTGAACAAAGTAAAAATGTAATACTTGAAATAGAAAAAGTTTGGTAAATTCAACACCTATGAATGATAGAACACCAAGAAAACTATTAGAAGAAAACTTTTGAGACCTGCTAAAAGTCCTCCATGAAAAACCAAAATTGGCCCGGCGCAGTGGCTCACACCTGTAACCCAGAACTTTGGGAGGCTGAGGTGGAAAGACTGCATAAAGCCAGGAGTTCAAGACCATTCTGGACAATATAGGGAATCCCCATCTTTACAAAATATTAAAAAAAAAATTATCTGGGCATGGTGGTGCATGCCTATTGTCCCAACTACTCAGGCAGTTAAGGTGGGAGGATCACTTGAGCTTAAGAGGTTGAGGCTGCAGTGAGCCAAGATGAAAAACTCCACACCAAAAGCTAATATACTTAATGGTGAATGACTAGGGGCTTTATCTGCAAGTTTGAAAACAGGACGAGAATTTCTACTTATACCACTATTCACCATTGTACTGGAGGTATGAGCCAGAAAATTACACTAGAAAAATCAATACAATCTCCAGATTAGAAAAGAAGTGGAATAGTCTTTTATTGCCATAATGTTGTATTTTAAAAGTATAAGAAATTCATTAAAAACCTACTTGAGGCTGGGCATGGTGACTCACGCCTGTAATCCCAGCACTTTGGGAGGTCGAGGCGGGCAGATAACAAGGTCAGGAGATCGAGACCATCCTGGCTAATATGGTGAAACCCTGTCTCTACTAAAAATACAAAAAATTAGCCGGGCACAGTGGCAGGCGCCTGTAGTCCCAGCTACTCGGGAGGTTGAGGCAGGAGAATGGCGTGAACCCAGGAGGCAGAGCTTGTAGTGAGCCGAGATCCGGCCACTGCACTCCAGCCTGGGTGACAGAGTGAGACTCTGTCTCAAAAAAAAATAATAATAAAATAAAATAAAATAAAGTAATAAATAAATAAAAACCTACTTGAGCTAATATAGAAGTTCATCAATGCCACAAGATCAACATACAAGGTTAGATAGTACTTTTATATTATAGGAATAAACAAAATAAGAATTAAATTAAAATTTCATTAATAGTATCCTAGAAAAAAAAATTAGAAATGAACTTAACAAAATAACTGCACATACTATACACTGAAAATTATTTAAAATGCTGAAAGAAATCAAAGAGCTGAATAAACTGAGATATACTCAATATTCAAATATAGCAATACTGAATATGAAGATCAAAATACCCAACAAATTTATCTACAGATTCAATGCAAATTCCAATGTAGCTTTTCTTTAATATAAATTGACAAGCTCTTCCTAAAATCCATATAAACATATAAAGAAAATCAAACACACAAGAATTCTGAAAAATAACAAAATTCAGTAACTTACACTCCTGATATAAATTCTTACTACAATGTTACAGTAATTAAACAATATAGTACTGGCATAAGGACAGATTTATGTAGACCAAAAAAAAAAAAAAAAAACCACAGAATTAAAGTTCCATTAATGAACAAATTAATCTGTGGTAAAATTATTTTTTTCTGTGAAAGGTGTTGTGACAGTCATTATATTTATAATTCTTTAGTTCAATATGAACTCTGGTCCTGAGTAAGACATGAGCAGGTATTAAAGGCTTTGCCACATTTTTTACATTTGTAGGATTTTTCTCAGGTATGAATTTTCTCAGGTACATTGAGGTCTGAGCAGTGGTTAAAGGTTTTGCCACATTCTTCAGATTTGTAGCATTTCTCTCTTGTATGAATTCTCTTATGGTTTGAAAGGCTTGAACAAGATATAAAGACTTTACCACATTCTTCACATTTATAGGGCTTCTCTCCAGTATGAATTCTTTTATGTTCAGTAAGGTGTGAGCACCGGTTAAAAGCTTTGCCACATTCTTCACATTTGTAGGGTTTCTCTCCAGTATGAATTCTCTTATGTTTAGTGAGGTTTGAACACTGGTTAAAAGCTTTGCCACATTCATCACATTTGTAGGGTTTCTCTCCAGTATGAATTCTTTTATGTAGAGTTAGGTATGAGAACCAGTTAAAGGCTTTGCCACATTCTTCACATTTATGGGGTTTCTGTCCAGTGTGAATTTTCTTATGTTTGGCATGGTTTGAACTGTGGTTAAAAGCTTTGCCACATTCTTCACATTTATAGAGTTTCTTTCCAGTATGAATTATAATGTGATTAGAAAGGCTTGTGAAGGATTTAAAGACTTTTCCACATTCTTTACATTTGTAATGTTTCTCTTCATTATGAATTGTCTCATGTTCAAGAAAGCATGAGCAGTGCCTAAAGGCTTTCCCACATTGTTTACACTTGTAGGATTTCTCTGCAGTGTGGATTCTCTGAAGTGGAGTTAGAACTGAGGATATGTAAAAGGAATTGTCACATTCTTTACAGTTGGAAGATATCTCTCCAGTATGTCTTATCTTATGTCTATTTAGATTTGACGATTTACTAAAGACTTTCACACATTTATTAAATTGAAAGATTTTGGTATGTGTAGTTGATAAAGATTGGTTAAGTCCATTACAACATTCTTTCTGCACCTTAGATTCACCCACACTTTCCCAATCTTTCTTTAATTGTAAATTCTCAATGCCATAGCTTCCATATCTTCTCAGTATCACTTTTTGAAATGAATCTTTTATACCATGCTCTGGCAAGAGGTCTTGGGTGAAATGAGAAGAAACAGCTGAAAAAAATTAAAATAACATATTATCCAACTTACTGGACTTAGATGAATATAATTTAAAAAGCTAATATATGAAATTATACCAAACACATTAGCGAGATAGCATAATAAAATACTACAGGCCCTGATTTTTTGATGAACATAATATAACAAAAATATACTGAACAAAATGCCTTTGTGAGAACTCTAGAAACCATATTAAAAGCCATAGACAAGGGGAAGGAAAGCTTGTTACATTTACCCACCACAACTCTTTCTTCTCCTAAACACAGCATAATGACTTCAGGAATAAACTCCCAACTCCTAGCTTCTCCTTCAATAGAGACAGTAGTGGCACATATGCCCATACTTTTGATGGAATTTCCAAAGACTAGTTTCTGTCTCCCATGACACAAAGTGCTGAAAGGAATAGTGGTAGAATAGAACCAACCTTTAATTCAAAGGTTGGTTCTGCTGAGACCAAAGGTAAATAATTGTTATAGCAGCAGAGAGGCTGCAGTACTACAGACAGACAACAGATTTAGCAAATAATTGATTAGAGAAGAAGAAAGAAAGAAGAAACAAGGGTAAACCTCTTTAACTGGAAATTAAACACAAAATTCCAGAGAACATACATCCTGAGAATAGGTTTGAGAGGCTCATGGAAACCCTAGCCCAAGTCACTTGGTATCAGATTATCCAGGACAAAGCCATTTTATAAAGATTTTGACAGATGGCTTTTAGTGCCCAAATCTCAACCAAAGATTGCAACATATACATTAGGGTAACATGGCTCAATCAAAAAAAAAATAAATAAATAAATAAATAAATAAATAAATAAATAAATAAATATCCAGAAATCAACCCTAAAGAAATGGAGATGTATAAGTTACCTGAAAAATCTGAGATAACCATTTGAATAATGCCCAATGAGTAAAACAGGAAAACAGACATGAAATTAAGAAAATGAGAAACCCTGACAAATTCTCAAATGTAAAAAAAAAAAATTAAGAAGCTCAACACATTTCAAATAGGATAAACACAAACAGACACATAACAAGATACATTATAAGCAGTTTCAAAAAATTACAGATGAGAAGAGAATCTCAAAAACAGAAAGGGAAAAGCAATGTGTCATCTATAAGCATGCTTCTATGAGATTACCAGAGCATAGTTGTTTCATATACCATCATTCTAGTACTATAGAATTTTATTTTTGTGTATGTGATCACGGGGCACACAGAGAAAATAGGAAACCTGCCCTACTTGAAGAAACAAATCTCCAGAAACTGACCCTTAAAAAAGGGAGATTTTTGCATTTTTTTGACAAAGAATTTAAAGTAATCATCTTAAACATGTTCAATGACCAAAAGTAGAACACATATAGATAACTCTACAAAATCAGGTTGGGCATGGTGACAAGAGCATTATGGTTTACATAAAGTAAAATACTCTCCTTGTTGTTCATTTAAAAATAAATCCTGGCTATGTACAGAAGCTCACACCTGGAATTCCAGCATTTTGGAAGGCTGAGGTGGGAGAACTGCTTGAGACCGAGTTCAAGACCAGCTTGAGTAACACGGTGAGACTGTCTCTACAATTTTTTTTTTTAAATTAGCCAGGCATGGTGGTATATGCCTATAGTCCCAGCTACTTAGAAGGCTGAGGTGGAAGGATCACTTGAGCTGAGGAGTTTGAAGCTACAGTGAGCTATGATCATACCGCTACACACCACCAGCCTGGATGAGAGAGTGAAACCCTGTTTATAAAAAAAAAAAAAACAAAAAAAAAAAAACAGAAAACCATGCATGAGGAAAATAATACATCAACAAAGAGATTTTAAAAAAAAAAAACCTATAAAAAAGAACCCAACTAAGCTTGGTGTGGTGGCTCACGCCTGTAATCCCAGCACTTTGGGAGGTTGAGGCAGGTGAATTACGAGGTCAGGAGGTCGAGACCAGCCTGGCCAACATGGTGAAACCCCGTCTCTACTAAAAATACAAAAAATTAGCCGGGCGTAATGGCGGGTACCTGTAATCTCAGCTACTCAGGAGGATGAGGCAGGAGAATTGCTTGAACCTGGGATGCAGAGGTTGCAGTGAGCCAAGATCACTCCACTGCACTCCAGCCTGGGCAACAGAGCAAGACTCTGCCCCCAACAAAAAAAAAAAAAAAAAAAAAAAAAAAAAACCCAACTAAAATTGTTGAGCTGGAAAATACACTGTGTTGAAAAATTAACTGAAGAGCCAAAACAGCAGACTTAATGAGGCAGAAAAAACATCAGCAAATTGAAGACATATCATTTATAAATATTGAGTTGTGGAAGCAAAATTTTAAAAATGGAAAACAATGAAGATGGAATATTGGACTTAATAGAAACCATTCAGTAGACCAATATATCCATAAAAAGAGACTTAGAAGATATAGGTGAAAAGCGGTAAGTTATTTAAAAAAAAAAAAAGGGGAGGGGGGCTGAGAACTTCTAAACTTTCAATGAGATAAAACCAAAATATTACTAAGGATACTTGATGTAAAAAAAATTTACTTTCAAAAATAAGTGAAAAATAGACTTCCAAGATAAACAAAAGCTGAGAATGTTTGCTGCTACTAGTACAGTCCTACAAGAAATGATAAAAGCAGTCCATTATGTTGAACAATAAAATGATGCTGGAGAACATCATAAATTCATATGAAAATATAAAGCTGTTAAAGGTAAATATATACACAGATATAGACTTGTCCAATGTTACATAAAACCAAAAACTCTGCAGAATGTGAAAAACAACGTAAATCTCTGTAAATCTATTAATAAATGCACAATATAAAATGATATAATTTTTGACATTAATATCAAATGGGGGGATATAAAGATAAATAGTTCTTATACTCAATTGTAGGGAAGTTATGAGATAGATTATTAGAACTTTAAGAAGTTTTATGAACTGTCCATTTCTCAAGGTGATCACAAAGAAAGTACTTATAGAAGTAATGCAAAAGAAAATGAGAAAAGAATCAGAGCATGTCACTGCACAGTCAACAAAACAAAAAGACAGGCAGTGAGAGAGGTGAGAAAGGAAATGAGGGACAACATATCTACAAGGAACAGAAAACAATTACAAACAAGATGGTAATAGTACTGCCATTTCCTTTAGGAATTATTTTAAATATAAATGGATTAAATTCCTTAATGAAAAGAAAATGGCTGAATAGATTAAGAACAAACAAGATTCTAAAATATGCTGTATACAACAGACTCAACTGTAGCTCTAAAGGAGTCAAACAGGCTGAAAGTAAAGAATGAAAAAAATATGTCCCATGAAAATAGTAACCACAATTGGGTGGTGTGGCCACAATTATATTACACAAGATACATTTTAAATTAAAAACTGTCACACAAGACAAAGATTGATATAATGGTAAAATAGGCCTATTTACCAAAAATCTTTAACAGTTTTATATACACACACTCCACACACAAGCATACATATATATGTATATATAGTATATGTGTGTGTGTGTGTGTGTGTGTATATATATCTATATCTATATCTATATATATATATATGAAGCAATATTTGCTGCCACATATATGAAGCGAATATGGACAGAAATGAGCTGAGATATACACAGCAATACAATTGTAAACTTCAAGATTCCACTTTCAATAATGAATAGAAAAATCACATAGAAGATCAGTAAGAAAACAGAAAATTTAAGGATTATAAACTAATTAGACCCAACAGACATGTACAGAATTCTCCAGGAAAAACAGCAGAATACGCAATATTCTCAATTGCATATTCATTCTGTTAGGACACATAACAACTGACCAAATTTAAGAAGACTGAAATCAAACAATGTATTTTTTTCTAACCAAATCCAAAATATGTAGAAATTAAACACACTGTTGAACACATTCTTGCTCAAGGGTCAGATGATTTTTTTGTTAAGATAGCAGTACTGGCCGGGTGCGATGGCTCATGCCTGTAATCCCAGCACTTTGGGAGGCTGAGGCGGGTGGATCACGAGGTCAGGAGATTGAGACCATCCTGGCTAACACGGTGAAACCCCCGTCTCTACTAAAAATACAAAAAAATTAGCCAGGCGTGGTGGCGGGTGCCTGTAGTCCCAGCTACTCGGGAGACTGAGGCAGGAGAATGGCATGAACCCAGGAGGCAGAGCTTGCAGTGAGCCAAGATCGCACCACTGCACTCCAGCCTGGGTGACAGAGCAAGACTCTGTCTCAAAAAAAAAAAAAAAAAAAAAGGTATCAGTACCAACAGTGATGTACAAATTCAACGTAATCTCTATCTAAATCCCAATGGTACTTTTTTTGCAGAAATATTTTCCAAATCCTAAAATTTGTTTAGAAACTATGACTAGCCAAATACCATTTCAAAAGAAGAAAAGGATGGGTGTGGTGGCTTATGCTTGTAATTCTAGCACTTTGGGAGGTAAACATGACAGGATCATTGAGGCCAGGAGTTTGAAGCCAGATTGGACCCTGCCTCTATTATTAAAACAAACAAACAAACAAAACAACAACAACAACAACTATAAAATAAAAAGAATAAGAAGAGGCTTTACACTTCCTGGTTTCAAACATATTACACAAAGCTATAAAAAGACAAATATGAATAAAGAGATAATGAAACAAGAGAGAACCTAGATATAAACCCTTTTGGATACAATCAAATGATCTTCCACAAGGTTGCCATGGCCACACAACAGGGAGAGACTCTTCGACAAACCATGTTGAAAACGGAGTACCTACATGAAAAAAATTAAGTTGGACCCTTCCTTTGCATTATATGCAAACAATATTTTAAAAGGATTCAATGCTTAAACATAAAAATATAACAAAACTCTCAGGAGAAAATATAGAGAAGATCATGACATTGGTCTTTGCACCGTTTTCTTGGATATGATGTCAAATGCATAAGCAACAAAGAACAAAAAAACTGAACTACATCAAACTTCAGAATTTCTGAACATTAAAGGAACCAATTAGTGGAATGAAAATGTCACCTTAGAAATGGGTGAAAATATTGACCTATTAGATATTTGATAGGAGTTAACGTACAGAATGTATCTCTCCTAAAACTCAGCCCCCCAAAAATAATAATTTGATTTAAAAACAGACAAAGGATTGAACTGACTTTTCTTTAAAAGATAATACTCAAATGGCCAACAGGCACTTGAAAGAAAGCTGAAAATTACTAATTTGTAGAGAACTGCAAAGCAAAATCACAATGAGCTATCACCTCACATCCATCAAAATGGCCACTATTAAAAATGAACAGAGGCTGGGCACAGTGGCTCATGCCTGCAATCCCAGCACTTTGGGAGGCTGAGGCGGGTGAATCACATGAGGCCAGGAGTTCGAGACTAGTCTGGCCAACATGGTGAAACCCCATCTCTGCCAAAAAATATAAAAATTAACCAGGCATGGTGGTGCATGCCTGCAATCCCAGCTACTCGGGAGGCTGAGGCACAAGAATCACTTGAACCCTGGAAGCGGAGGTTGCAGTGAGCCAAGATTGCACCACTGCATTCCTACATGGGTGACAGAGCAAGAACCTGTCTGAAAAAAAAGACCAACAGAAACTAATCTGTCAAGGATGTGGCGAAATGGAAACCTGTGTGCGCTATTGATGAAAAAATATGACACAGCCACTATTAAAAAACAGTATAGAGATTCCTCAAAAAACTAAAAATGGAATTATCATATAATCCAGCAATCCCATTTCTGAGTATATATTCAAACTCAGAACCTAGAAGATATATTGCAGCATTATTCACAAAAGCCAAAATGCAGAATCAACCCTGATGTCCCAAATGATCAATAGATAAAAATAAATGTGGCATATGCATAAAATTGATATTATTTAGCCTTAAAGAAGGAAATATTGTTACATTGTATGATAAGGATAAAGCTTGAGAATATTATGTTAACCGAAATAAGCCAGTACCAGTGACAGTGTATGATTCTACTTCTATATAATATCTTAAGTAGCCAACATCATATAGAAAGCTGAAGGGTGTTTGCCAAGGGCCGGAGAGAGAATAAAATGGGCAGTTCTTACTTAAGGAGTACTGAGTTTTGATTTTGCAAGATGTAACATTTCTAGCGGTCTTTTGCATAACAATGTGAATACGTGTAACGTTACTAAAAATGTATCCTTAAAGGTGCTCAACATCACCGGTCATCAAACAACTGCAACTCGAAACCACGATGAGACATCACCTCACACCTGTTTGGATGGCAAATATCAAAAAGAAGAGAGATGTGTATTATTCAAGGGATGGACAAAAGCCCTGACTTCACTACTGCATAATCTCTCCACTTAAGAAAATTAATTTATACCCTAAATTCATACAAATAAAAAAATCTACAAAAGAGATAATGTGGCATATACATAAGATTGATATTATCAGCCTTAAAGGAGATATTGTCACATTGTATGATAAGGATAAAGCTTGAGAATATTATGTTAACTGAAATAAGCCAGTACAAGTATTGACACAGGTGTGAAGAAAACTAAATTCCATATGTTGTTGCTGTGTTGTAAACTGATAGAGCCATTAGCAAAACCAGTATGGAGGTTCTTAATTGAAAAATGAAAAAGTAAAACTACCATATAATTCATCAATCCCACTTCTGTGTAAATAACCAAAGGAAATAAAATAATTATCTCAAAAGAAAAAAAACTGTACGCTCATGTTCATTGCAGCATTTTTCACAATTGCCAAGATATGAAAACAACCTAAATGTTTGCAGACACTAAAAATAAAAGTACACACACACACTCTAGAATGTTATTCAGCCATTAAAAATAATAAAATCTTGCCATTTCAACAACATGGATGAACATGGAGGAAATTACGCCAAGTGAAATAAGCCAGGCACAGAAAGAAAAATACTGCATAATCTCTCTTATAAGGGGAATCAAAAAGGGTTGAACTCAAAGAAGCAGAGAGTACAAAGATGATTGCCAGAGGCTGGAGTTAGGGAAAATTGGGAGCTGTTGTTCAAAGAGTACAACTTTCCATTATAAGATAAATACATTTTGGGGATCTTGTGTATAGCATTGTGACTGTAGTTCATAATAGCATTCTGTATGCTTAAAATTTGCTAAGATAGTTGTATCAAATCATCACATTGTACACAATACTTACACACTTTTTATTTGTGAAAAAATCCATGTTACACACATGTACATATATACACAAATGTATACACACCAACATATATATGAATAACAGTTCCGGTCATTCCAAACAAAATTATAAAATTACAGTTATTATAAACTAAGGTAGCAAGTGGAAGTTAAACATATGCTGAGCACTGCTCTAAGCTACCCAAATACACAGCATATTTAAGAAATCTAGGAAGCTGATACGGTTTGGCTGTGCCCCCACCCAAATCTCAACTTAAATTGCATCTCCCAGAATTCCCACGTGCTGTGGGAGGGACCCAGAGGGAGGTAATTGAATCATGGGGGCCAGTCTTTCCCGTGCTATTCTCATGATAGTAAATAAGTCTCATGGGATCTGATGGCTTTCTCAAGGGTTTCTGCTGTTGCTTCTTCCTCATTTTCTCTTGCTGCTGAGGCCTCCCCAGCCATGTGGAAATAGTTAAGTCCAGTTAAACCTCTTTTTCTTCCCAGTCTCAGGTACGTCTTTGTTAGCAGTGTGAAAACTGACTAATACAGAAGTGAACAGATACACTAAACCACACTACAGTTGAGAATTTGGGGCAGAGTTTAAATTACCAGTCTCTGTTTATACTAAAACAATAAATGTTTAATAAAAAATAACAGTTTCTTACATTTAGGGAGATGTCTAGTGTTCTTATAAAATTACTGAGTATAAATTTCTATAGAATGACATTTAAAACCTCTATAGAATGGGAAATCACAAAGCAGAAAACATGTAACATCTGTTCTGGTGTTCCTGGGATTCTGAGCCAAATCCCACTGCTCTCACACGCCTTAGACATAATGCAAAAAGGGAACTTAAAAAATAGCTTAACAAACAGTTTCTCAAAAATACACAGATATTCCTGTGTCCCCAAAGCAATGGAAGAACAATCAGATCATACGGTCTGTTCCAAGCTATGAAAAAGCCTTTGGCTGTCACTGTCATCTTGAAGAAAGATCACTGAAGGGAAAGTAGAGCCGTAAAAGAATTTCAGAGCATGGGACAGAAGGTGTTCCTATGTGACAGCAAGGGAAAGAAACTCAGGCTTCTCAGAAACCATTTCCATTGGAGCAGAGCTTCTCAAACCACATTTTAAGGTCTGGCTTCCGCCTTGATCTTTGAACCTCTCATCTGTATCATCCACTTCATTTACTCCCACCTACCTGGGTGTCTGGCTACTGTCTCATGTTTCTTCACATTCCAGGGCTCATTCCTTTGCTCTAGACAGGTGATCAGGTCTGGCTTAGAGACAGCAATACCTATTTTTAAAAAAAAATTCAAAGGACCTGTTTTATTTTTTAAGAAGTAGCATGACTCTTGCTTGGATTCTCTAATTACCAACCTAGTACTGTGCTCAGTAGAGAAATAAGGAAATAGAAGATTCTAAAAATTAATCCCAAAATACTGTTTCCTGACAGAACCTTTAGAATATTTGGAAAGTATTTTAAATTTGTGAGGCCCTAGCTTCACTACCTAATACTACTGAATCAAGAATGACAGAACCTTTAGAATATTTGGGAAGTATTTTAAATTTGTGAGTCCCTAGCTTCACTACCTAATACCACTGAATCAAGAATCGGTGGTGGTAACTGGATTTTTCAGGGTGTGTGCAACACTATTTTATGCTACTAAATTTCTGGAATTGCCACCACTCATCTGAGCACGCACATCACCTCAAGAAAGGAAGGTTAGTGTCAAGATAAAATACCTTCAAGATTATTTTGTTCTACACCAACAAATCCCCAAGTTTTCCTTGAAAGCAGAAATCTGAAATTCATTCGTGCAAAGCAGAATTCCAAAAAATATTCTACAATGAAGGAAATAAAATCCTTAGTGTAAAATAGAAATTATGCATTGAAGCGATCCTCACCCAGGGAGACCAGGTTTCTGTAGTTTTCTAACATCACGTCCCTATACAGATTCTGCTGAGCAGGGTCCAGATAGCTCCACTCCTCCGGAGAGAATTCTATGGCCACATCCCTGAATATCAACAGTCCCTGGCAAAGAAAAAACACATACGTATCAAGTGGTCATGGGCAGAGTTCTTAATCTGATTCCAGGCACAAAGAGAGACAGAGAGAACTGGTTCTTACTTATAGAAGAGACTGAAATGATCAAATAATTGTAAACACAGAAATATTCTCTAACATATTCTTTAATCCTGAAGAAAGAGGATGGCATAAGCTCCACATAACCAGTGTACATATTCTACTCTTGTGAATAATACAGTATAAAATTAAGGGCATCAACGCAGGCATATACATTTTTTCCTGCTCTATTTACCTCACACAGGATAAACTGTAAATATTTCTCATATGTAGAGGTCATGATTCATCAGAAGGTACCCCTGAAATTTTAATGCGTACACAATAAACTAGAGATCCTCTTAAAATGCAGGTTGTGATTCAGAGGACCTAGGGTGAAGCCTGAGTCTCTGAATTTCTAAGTGAGCCATACAGTGATGCCACTGTGTCTGGGCCAAGGAAAATATTTTTTCAAACATGCAGGAAGTGGCAGAGCCTGTGTTTATTTCAGTTTATCTAACCAATAAACAAACACGAGAGCCTTCATTTTCCAAAGCAAGCTATAAGCGAGGAGAATCTAAAAAGAAAGAAGAGCTTCCTAATTAAATGTGATGGCTTATATGTATCAGTCAGTAAATCTCCCCAAGGTACTAAACAATAATGAAAAAAATATCTCTATCGTGCAAAAATCTGGCAGAGAGCACCTTAACCAAGTAAATAAAATTAAGATCAACTATAATAGGATAAATCAACATCAAAGATGTCAAGGATAAAATGACATCAAGGATCACATGACATCAAGGACAAAGTATCACTGCTCTAATATTATTGACCACAAAAATAGTAAATTACAATCTGAACCTAATCATGTAGAAACATCCTTTTTTTGTTTTGTTTTTTGGAGACAGTCTTGCTCTGTCGCTCAGGCTGGAGTGCAATGGTGCAATCTTGGCTCACTGCAGCCTCTGCTTCCCAGGTTCCAGTGATTCTCCCACCTCAGCCTCCCAAATAGCTGGGATTACAGGCGTGCACCACCATGCCCAGTTAATTTTTGTATTTTTAGTAGAGATGGGGTTTCATCATGTTAGCCAGGCTGGTCTTGAACTCCTGACCTCAAGTGATCTGCCCGCCTCAGCCTCCCAAAGTGCTGGGATTACAGGTGTGAGCCACAGTGCCTGGCCAGAAACATCAGTTTTATGCAAAGTTCAAGCTATAGCTGTTTCCCTGGTTCTTTAATCTGCAATAGGGTATTTCAATAGTGTTTCTTTAGCATCCTAGACAGCAAATGTCTTCTAATTATTCTCTTTTCAGAACTTTAAGTTATTCCAGGCAATGAATGCCATCCTCTTTAAATGTCTCTTTTCTTAATTCTGTTCTGCATAGAGATGATGGAGCATGTGGATGAAATCTAAACGGTACATGATCCCCTTCTTCACTGACATCCCAAGACCCAGCCCCATCCCCACGGATAATCCTGGGGATCCACACTTTCCCATGTTGATATGTCACAGAACATCTGAATACTGCCCATCATACATTAATGGTAAGATTTGGTCATGACATATAAGAAGCCTGGAAGGAGGGAATGGAGAGAAGGTTCTGGTACACAGGAGGAAGGATTTTACAGAGTTCCTTATCAATCATAAGAAAGGAGGGGGGAAGGGGGGAAGGTAGTTGGGAAGAAACACATTAGGCAGGTACATCAGAAGTACAGAAATAAAGGTTTGCAAGTTCTAAACACATAACATCCCAGAAGAAAAGAGGAGACACATCCCCTGAACCCAGACACATTCACCTGAGAACCAGCCATTTCTTCCTCTTCTTCCTTCTTCTCTGGGATTCCTTCTCAGGTGAGATTATCTGGACAAATCACACCTGCATTTGAGAATATGTCTTTAAAGGTGTCAACACAACCCTTTCACCTGCAACCAGCACACCTAGAGGCAGAAGGCCCTGCAGTGCAGAAAAGGGAATACTCCCCTATTCTTTATCACAGGAGAGGAAAAATGAGCTACCACATAAAGACCAAAAATTTCCTGCCTTCAGGTGATCTCCCCTGCCATGAACTCCAGCAATTTCTGGTACAGCAAAGGAAATATGGATCTTGGTGACCTACCCTTATCAAACCGAAGAGCAGGCCCTCTGACCTCCTTTTGGAACCCAAGTCTCGTGACTGTATCTGGGAGCCCTCAAGGTTGACTCTGATCTCACCTTAGAATCGCTGGGGGGCACTTACTTAAAACAACAATTATGCTTCCATCCAGACCACAGACAGGATCTTTGGAGACAGCATGTGTGATGGTAGTTCTCCAAACTGGCTATTTGTTTCTAATTGAAAGCCTGGGCTGAGAACCACATACCTGAGTACTGTCTCTCTGGCTTCAATGTACATATAAATAATTTGGTATTCTAATTTGGTATTCCAGGCCCCATTCTAAGTAATGTGTTTCCGCAGGTGTGAAAGGGGTCTGCAAATGGGCTTCTATAACAAGTCTTCTGATACTGTTCCCCCGGACTCCTCATCAGCAGCACTCAGCTAGAGAAGGCAAATACAGCACAGAGTCCCTTGTACTCAACACCGGTATCACAACAGAAATGCTTTGGCCGGGCGCAGTGGCTCACGCCTGTAATCCCAGCACTTTGGGAGGCCGAGGCGGGTGGATCACCTGAGGTCAGGAGTTCAAGACCAGCCTGACCAACATGGAGAAACCGTGTCTCTACTAAAAATACAAAATTAGCCGGGTGTGGTGGCGCATGCCTGTAATTCCAGCTACTGGGGAAGGCAGAGGCAGGCGAATCGCTTGAACCTGGGAGGCAGAGGTTGCAGTGAGCTGAGATCGCACCATTGCACTCTAGCCGGGGCAGCAAGAGGGAACTTGGTCTCAAAACACAAACAAACAAAAAAAACCCAGCAATGCTTCTGATTGCAAGTGAAGACCACCAATCGCCATCCTGAAAAATGGCATTCTCTGCTGAGCGTTTAAAGTTTACTAAAGTCTAGAGAAGGCAGCAATGTCTGAGTAAGTCTGCACTGGGAGAACGTGGACACGGGCATTAATGAATGTTTACGGAACACATACTACGTGCTCAGAAGTGTGTTACAGAGGACAGCGCTGAAAACCTAGTAATAGGTGAGGTAATTCTAACACTCCGGGAGGTGGGTACTAAGTGTTCCATAATCCCCAGGGTTTACATGAAGGGCCCAGCTTTTCTTTTTCTGTTTCTCCATCACTGAGTTTTAGAAAGAAAATATATAGAATGAAAGCTAAATACAGACAGATGGGAGAGATACAGAAAGAAGGGGTTAAATGTAGTTGAGAGGGATTTTTCGTTGTTGTCGTGTTTGTATTTACTTTCTGGTAACTCATGGAGGAACTACTGCATCTGCAGGAATGAAGAACACCTGGGTCTGCAGGATGAACAGCAGGCTGCTGGGTGGGATGTCTCTGGCAGCACTGGTTTCAATGAAAAACAAAGGGCCACAATTACACAGTGCTTTGTTCTCATTTACCTGCTTTTGGGTTTGGGAAAATTGTCAGCACCTGCTCTGGAGAGATCACAGGAACCACCACGCAACAACTCTGATGTCCTCTAATGAATTCTGCGACGGAGATTTCAGGGTGGGATAAGGCCTGGGAAGCAGGCTGATCTGGCAGAGCTGGGCCACGAAGCAGACCCTCAGCTTCTCACCTTTAGGCCTCTGGGTACTACCGGTTCTCTTTGTCCTAGGCCTGCCCAACAGACGCTTGACTCCCAGAGTTTGTGTAATTTTAACCAATTTTAGCTACTTCCTCGTCTATTTTATAAGATCCAGTCACGGGCAATTTAACCAACACCCTTAGAGCTTTCTAGGACAAATATATTAGAAACTAAATATTTATTCTTGGCAAGGAAAATGCACTAGAAATAAAGATAATAACAACTCTTTTGTCCATAAATAGCCCTTCAGGTGGCAACACCAGAACTCACAAAAGAACAAGAAAAGAGAAGTGGCCCCAATGAAGCCACAATCCTCTGTATACCTCCCTTCTTTGTGCTGACCACAGGATGCCGAATTCAACCGTTTATCCACTGGCTCTAGACTGAAAGTTCCTGGTTGGTAAGGACCCAAGACTGTGCCATCTGTTTTTGTAATGGCCATATGAAATGGAAGCAACTGGTTTATCAGTTTGAGTCTCGAGATCTCCTCCTTGTTTTTTACCCAATACCAGGAAACGGGAGCCAGTCCCATCTGGATATCAATCAAAGAGATTCCTTTTGTGAGGGGGAAAGAAGAAACATGCATGACTCATTTCTCTTCCTCTGAGATGGAAGCAGCTTTGTTTATTTGTTTATTTTTAAAGGAAAAAAGCCTACAGCATCCAGTATTCCCAGGACTGACCCTGCTTAGCTTCCGAGATGAGATGAGATAGCGCATGTTCGGAGTGGTATGGCCATAGACTGGAAGCAGATTTAGACCTTCCTGTCAGCCTGACCTGAGTCTGCACTAATGTTTAAAGACTCCCAGGTACCTGCGACAGGGTCCTCAGTGACCCTGGGCTTATGTCCCCATGGTGATCTAGGCAAGAGAGATTCCGGCTGATTCTGTGGGACAAAAATAGAAAACAGGCCGGCGCGGTGGCTCACACCTGTAATCCCAGCACTTTGGGAGGCTGAGGCGGGCGGATCACCTGAGGTCAGGGGTTCGAGACCAGCCTGGCCAACATGGTGAAACCCTGTCTCTACTAAAATACAAAAAAATTAGCTGGGCCTGTTGGTAGGCACCTCTAATCCCAGTTACTCAGGAGGCTGAGGCAGGAGAATTGCTTTAACTCAGGAGGCGGAGGTTGCAGTGAGCTGAGATCACCCCACTGCACTCCAGCCTGGGTGACAGAGTGAGACTCCGTCTCAAAAAAAAAAACAAAACAAAAAAACCCCAAAAAACAAAACTGCCACGGTGGAGTGGCAGATTCTTAATCCAGAGGAGATATCACCTGTCCCTAATTAGCTAAATCTTGAGTAAGAGAAAGGACAACAGTGCTTCCATATCACACTTTACAGGTGGGTGTGACCGTGACCACAGCTCTGCCTATTTTGTGGCCCTAACCTCACCCTGCTGAGGTTCTTGTTTACATTTACAGACTCTGTCACCAGGCTGTTTTTTTTTTTTTTTTTTTTGAGACAGTTTCACTCTTGTTGCCCAGGCTGGAGTGAAATGGTGTGATCTGGGCTCACCACAACCTCTGCCTCCCAGGTTCAAGCGATTCTCCTGCCTCAGCCTCCCGAGTAGCTGGGATTACAGGCATGCGCCACCACCCCGGCTAATTTTGTATTTTTAGTAGAGACAGGGTTTCTGCATGTTGGTCAGGCTGGTCTTGAACTCCCAACCTCAGGTGATCCGCCCGCCTCAGCCACCAGGGTCTTTTTATACCAGGAGCTTCTCACACAACTGTAACAGGTCACTGGACCTGGAAAACTCAAAGGGTGCCACTCTGAAACTGGGGCTTTAAGATGTCTATGTCGGCCAGGCACAGCGGCTCATGCCTGTAATCCCAGCATTTGGGAGGCCAAGGCAAGAGGACAGCATGAAGCCAGGAGTTCGAGACCATCCAGGGCAACATAAGTGAGATCTCACCCCTACACAAAATAAAAAATAAAATTTGCAATGTGGTGTGGTGTGTCCCTTTAGTTCTCGCTGTTGAGGAAGGAGGATCACTTGAGCCCAGGAGTCTGAGGCTGCAGTAAGCTATGAATGTGCCACTGCACTCCAGCCTGAGTGAAAAGAATGAAACCGTGTCTCAAAAAATAAAATAATTAAAAGCTTTAAGAAAGGGGAGAAGAGCAAAATTTATTCCCCTACTTTCTGGTGGAGGAATTAAGCCTCTTATTTCTAGCTGCTGTCAGTATAAAGAGCTTCTTTCATGCTTGGGGTGTACGGACACCTGCAGGGGGGTGCTCCCCAGGAAGAACTAACCGGGCCTTCAATGACCTTCCACAGCCAAGTCAAGGGCCATCGTCTTGGACTCATGGATATCTGAATTCCAGTAGGTCTGGATTCAGGCACTTGAGGGGTAGCCTGGGACAAACTGTGTATCAAAGAGGGTTTGTGGGAAAGAAAAAACAGAAAAGTGCTGTCAAGTACCCATGTTAAGTACTCAGTGCAGGGTTAGTGAAGAAGTGGTCTGTGCCTACAGATACTGGCCCAAGTGGGGCTATGCTCCGGCTCATTCCTGTGTCCATGCAGGCAGATGAGATGACGGTCATATCGTGGAGGGGCCAGGTTGCTGGGGGTGGGGATAGGCCAGGAGTCTTCCAGGCACCTGTGTGGGTTTTCCATGGGAAACTCTAGAAGCAAAGGTGCTGTGATGGGATTCCTGAGGGTGAAGCCTTGTTCTGGGAGGGACATGGCCACGTCAGTGCCTAGTGGGTATGTTTACAAGTGGGTGAAAATCACGTAGTGGCAGCAGACTAAAGACGGGGTCTGTCCTCAGAACTCTTTGCTTCTAAGTCCTCAGTCCTGTCTGATCCTGAGAAGAGAGCTGGAATCCCAGGAGAATGTGCAGTGTGTGTGCAGGAGAATAGACCCTCCCAATCCTGCGACACCCCGAGGTGCCTCCAGCCCAGACCACTGTGATGTCTTGTCTTTTTTATTTATTTTTTTTTTTCGAGACGGAGTGTTGCTCTGTCGCCCATGCTGGAGTGCAGTGGCGTGATCTGGGCTCACTGCAAGCTCTGCCTCCCAGGTTCACGCCATTCTCCTGCCTCAGCCTCCCAAGTAACTGGGACTACAGGCGCCCGCCACCACGCCCGGCTAGTTTTTTGTATTTTTAGTAGAGACGGGGTTTCACTGTGATAGCCAGGATGGTCTCAATCTCCTGACCTCGTGATCCACCCGCCTTGGCCTCCCACAGTGCTGGGATTACAGGCTGTGATGTCTTTTTTTTCTGACACCAAATGTGTGGAGTTTGCTGAACACCAACCAATTCTCCAACACCAACAGGGTGCTGGAGCAACTCAGTTCTGACACCACCCAAAAAAAAGTTGGTACAGGACCCACAGGTTCAGGACTCAGTCCCACAACACTGCCCCCAAGGCAGGGGCCAGTCACACGTCCCCGGGGGCCCAGCAATACTTCTGGGCTACTGCCTATAGATCAGAAACTCCCATCACCCACTCCTCAAGTTCAATAATTTGATACAGCTATTCGCAGAACTCAGCAAAGCACTGTACTTATGTTTACCAGTTTATTGTAAAAGATACAACTCAGGAACAGTCAAATGGAAGAGCTGAATATGGCAATGGAAAGTGGTGGGGGAAGATGGAGCAGGTAAATAGCTGTGATTAATGAAATCCTTCAGCTCTGTGTTCTCCAAGAACAGCTTAATAAAAAGCAACACCCCTCTAACTTAGATGAAGCTCCTTCTTATACCTATCACAAAGCCAGGCACAGACTCTCAAATTCCCATTTTCCCCCTATAAACAGTCAGCTGAATAATTTTGTCTTCAGTTGTTAGAACAAAATACTTATTAACAAAACTGCTTAAGATTCTCTCCTTCTCCTAGGCCCATGAATTTGTCCCACCCTTTGCTTGAGCTAACATACAACTCCTATTTATGCCCCTCCTAAGAACAGGCTGATTTGGGAGTCAAACTTTCTCTAATCTAGGATCTGATTTGCCACCCTGCATCTTGTCCTCTCACTCTCACCTTTCTACTCTGGTTTGTTCCTCCAAACGAAAGAAAGCCCTTGTCTGCCTAAACTTTGAGATCCTGGAAGATATAGTTGGTGCTTTCCCTCTGTTGTAATACTCCTTTGAAGTAAGTAACTTCTTATCTAAATGTGAATTTGTTTTATTTGACAAAGTCTAGAAACAGCCCCAGAACAATAACAATTCCATCCTCAGAAAGAGCCTCCAGACTCCGACCCCAACAGCATCTGCCTGTGGATCCCAGCTCTCTAGGGCTCTATAGCTCCTCTCAGTATAAAGTGCTCCTTTCATGTTGGGGTGTGCAGGCTGGGACACCTGCAGGGGAGGCTCCCCAGTAAGAACTAACCGGGTCTTCAATGACCTTGTTTTGCAGGCTCAAGATTGGCCTTGGCTTAGAGTCACTGGGCTCCGACTTCTATTTCCCAGTCAGGGTTATTCACTTAGTTGTAAATGAGAAAATGCTCAGTGTTTGAAGAATCCAGCAAAATCACTCAAACACAGTGTTTATTTAAGAGAATAAAATTATAAGGCACTTACATTGTATACCTCAATAGAAAAAGCAAAACTCTCTATCAGTTTCAGACAATAAACATGTCACATTATTTCCGTAATTCAAATCATTCAGTAAACAATCACATATGAACATATCTAGGAGATGCCAAGTCCCATCTTGTAAAATTCAGTATTAAACTCAGACATCTAGATAATAGAGATATCAACTCCACAAGTCCTCTACCCTGCAAAAAAGAGGAACTAATATTTTGATGAAGCAATGTAATTCACCAATTAATCTACTACTTTTTTTGTGGAAATGTATTCATTTCCTATAGCCATACTGGAAGAGGATTTTCCCTATTACTTTCCCTGGTAGCATTCCCACAGCTACGCCCTGGGATTCTGTTTAAAATCACCCCTAAAAAGGAACAGGCCTGACAAACTTACTATACTCTAGGGAAGAAAAAGGTAAATCAGAATTTTTAACAAGTGAATATTTGACTATATATGTAATGTCTTTTCTGAAATCCACCTCTTAAACATTTTCTTACCTTTGAAACTCTACTGTTAAAATGCAATTGACAGTTAATAAAAAACTAAGGTTGAATTAAGTGAAAAAAATGTTTCAAGGTGTAAAACCCAGGAAGTGGCAATGCTGATTGGAACACAGACAAATCTGACTCAAGTGCCAAGTCAGGCCGTCCTATCACTTGGGACCTTCCTCTGTTTCCATACTGCTCACTGACCACCTTCCCGCCTTGCCCAGGAGCCACCACACTGTGCCCCACTGGGTGCCCCAAGTGGCTTGACTTTGCAGATTCTCGCGCCCCCTCACTGCAGTGGGTCTTCCTTGTCCTTTGGAACAGTTTTTCCCCCTTCACAAGTCTGAGAGAATCCAGATGTCAGAAATCATTTCTGTTTTTTCTTCTCAATATCAGCATCCAACTGGCTGACCAGCAATGTGTCCCCAAGGAACAGACGCTGGAGTTGGGTGAAGACAATCTGCATGTCCTAAGGGGTTAGCTTTGTAAATGAAGGGTAGGACCAGCTTCCTCTCAGCCCCAGGGCATCCATCTGCTCCCTTAAGAGGCTCCACCTCCATCACTGAGGCTGTCCTCTGGGAGGAAAGGAACAACGTGCTAATGTTCACTAAACATGCCTTGAGATGGGTCACCCCCAGACAATTATGAAACCCAGGCACAGAAAAAGACTGGAGGGTGGCTGAGGACACATGACCTTGTAAAATTTCCAAAGCAGAACCTCAAACCAAAGACATTCCGATAAGGTGTCTGTGCCTGGGGAAGATAAAAGAAGAGACACAAAGATTTTTTTTAAAGCAGTGTGTCAGGTGATTCTTCTCTGCTCACATAAAATGTTTACAAACAGAAAACAGATGTCTAAAAAAAGTGCCATCCAATGCTCTGTGAAAAAATGATGAAAACACTGTGTGTGAAATGTACAATAAAGGACACACAGGCTGGGGGGACAGGATGGTGGATGTGAGACCGTGCTTGCCACACATTTGGAAACGCAGTGGAAAACCAGTCCCCCTCTGGAGTGTTTAAAATAATTAACTAGCAATCAATTAGACTGAAGTAGCACTAGGACCATCGGTTCCTAAGGAAAAAAATCTAACTGAAATACATGTCTTGTAAATTACTACCTTAGGAAGAAACGATTTTCAGCCTGAACCAACCACAAACCTCCAATTAACCTCTCATTAAATAACCAGGAAATTTCCACCTGGACAGTCCACATAAGGCGACTCCACAACTGTAACTGTAACCAAGTTCTGAATTTGGTTCGCTTCCTTATGCCCCTTACAAAAGCCTTTGCTCCAAGCACCCACAAACCATGACTGGGCGCTCTGCATTGATGAACAGCTCTTTGCTCAAATAATCTCTTTAACGTTTAAACCTTGATTCCCTTTTCATTTTTACCAGGAGAAAGGAGGGCCTGGGACCCCACAGCCCACAGCTCCTCCCACGCAGTGGCTCCTCCTGGGTCGGGGCTCTCCCCCAGGCCCCTGCCGTCGCCACCGCACAGCTGCCAGCGAGGGGACGCGCCGGGCGGAAGTCGAGCGCAGAAGCGGACCGGACGCCGGGTGAGGCTGGCGGCCCAGCCCACATCCTGAGGCCAGGGGAAGCTGAGGGCCGGGCGGGTCCAGCGGGGTCTCGGGTCTGCAGACTCCGGAGGCAGCTGTGGGGAGGCCTGGGGCCGCCACAGCCAGTTCCAGCCCGTTTCCATCAGCCCCCTGCCCACCTCGGGACCCCGCCCACATACTCACCATTTCCCAGCTTCCCGGGTGTCCAGGCTGCTTAGCTATGGATCTCCTGATACCTGCAGGTCAGAGGGCAAGAGGCTGTGGCGGCCACCTGAGCTTCCCCGAGCAAAGCACGCCGAGCACAGAAGACGACCCAGCTGAGGCTGGCAGGAGAGACGAAGGCCCCGCCAGATCCCGGAAGCCGCGCCCTTCTGTCCGGCTGCACGCCCGATTGGACGGTTCCTACGTCAGCGCCCCTGATTGGATAGGGCTCCAGGCCCCGCCCCCTCAGTCCCTGAGTGACGGAGGATGTGATCGGACGCTGGGCTGAGGGCGACAAAGTGACAGGTTCTTGGCTGCAGCCTTTTCATGCAGGGCTTCCTGCTTGCGCTGGGCCTGGCCCAGCCCAGGGGGCATTTTCATTTAACCTTTTGTATAAGGTTATATCCATTTATAAATAATATATATATGTTATTCACAAATGAAAACAATATAATGGCAATGATTTTAACATTTCAGATTTTATGACCTTTCTGGCCTCTGGTAGTTTGATCAGGCAGCCTGAAATTTCAAAAAGGGAGGCAATCCTTTAAGAAATAAAATGTAAGCCACGTGTGAATTTTAAATTTCCTAGTAGCCACCTTTTAAACATTAAAAGTAACAGGTGAAACTGATTGTAATAATTTATTTAACCCAATATATTCAAAATATTATCATTTCAATGTATGATCAATATCTCAATATTCATCAATATATTAATGAACTATATAATTTTCGGTAGTCAATCTGTGAAACTCACTCTGTATTTCACCTTCCCAGCACGTCTCTGTTCAGCCACATTCCAGGCCCTCAGTACTCACACATGGCCAGTGGCTGTCACACTGCCGTGCAGCTCTGAGGGAGGTGAACGGTCTGAACCCTCATTTCCTTCCAGCAGTGAAAGATCGGTCCTCCTTATCAACGTCTCTCCCCAGGCCAAAGGCTGAAGGGACAGGGCCCTAGAGAGAGCAAGGGCTGCAAAAAGAGAGTGTCCACAGGTAGACCATTGCTGCCCCGCCTGCTGTCCATCTTCCTCCCAAAAATCAGACAGTCAAAAAAAGAACAATGGAGCCCCCAGGAGGACCTAATCCCCAGTCTTCAGGTCTTCCACAGCTTTGACTTCCAAAGTTTAGATATACAGAAAATAGATTAAACAAACTTCTGATATTGGTATTTGGCCTTGGCGCTAATAAACAGGCTATTGGTTGTCTTTTTCCTCCTATGGTGTGGGAGACTGGGTGAGTTTATGCACCAATCACGTGTACACATCTACATGTATCTCTACATAACTCACCACCGTCTAACAAGAGATCCAAATTTAAATAAAGGGAAAAGAAAATCAATACCTATAGGGTGCCTACTGTTTGCAGGTAACTAGTAATCAGTCTCTCATTGAATTCTGACATCCTGTCTGTAATGGGTGTGTGTGTTAGTTAGTTAGTGATGCATAACAAACCACCGAAACTTACTAGCTCATGATTCGGCTGGTCAGCAATTTAAGCTAAACTCAGCTGGGCAATTCTTTTGGTCTCAGCTGGGATCCTTCAGACATGTGTGGGCAGATGCTGATTGCAGCTGTTTCTAGGGGTGAGTTGCCTGTCAACTGGGGCACCTTCGTTCTTCTCCGTGTGGTATCTCGTTCCCCAGCAAGTTAATGTGTGCTTATTATCATAGAGATAACAGGATTCTGAAAGAAAAACAAAAGCACTCAAGTTTTGAACCTAGGTCCCAGACTAGCACACTGTTATATGTTCAGTTTTCTGTTGACCAGAGCAAATAAGACTCTAAACATTTTGAAATACAGATTTTGCCTCTTGAAGGGAGCAGCTATAAAAGCACTTTGCAAAGGACATGTATACAGGGAGGAATGAAGAATATTTGCAATCAGTATCATTATGCCTTTTCTTGCAGATGAGGTTTATATAAGTGTTCCTAGTCAAGAAACTTCCAAAACCCCACAGCTACTAAGCAGCTGGATTGGGATACAGAATCAACTGTAACTCCAAAGCCTGTGTACCTCCATAGACCATACTACTCATGCAACTGCCCTGGGTCTTCAAGGTTCTGGAGAGTTATACTTCTGCTGTTGAAGCAGAATTCTTTTGATATTTGTGCCCATATGGTACTGTTTATCATTGGCATAACATCCCTCAAGAAACTGCAGAAGCATGTTGGAAGGATATGGAATATTTAGGAAAATAGCTGAGGAATGAGTTTAGGAAATCAAAGCCAAACAACACATTATTTATTTTTCATCATAGGAGACTTTGAAAACATAAAATGTATTCCATATATCTGCAAATTCTTTTCATCATTTTTGGGTATTTTTAGGCTGCTTATGATTTTAACACAGACTAAAACTGCTGTGCCTGAAATAGCCTCTTATTCTGAAAGCAAGTGACATAAAGATAGGTCTGCTGATAAGACATTTTCTCCTGCTGCAATTTAGCAAAATATCTGAGTATGTCTTAAAGTTTTCCTTAGATTTTTAACAGGGCCAATTTATAGGCAGTAGCTCAGAAGTGTAGATGGTCCCACAGGGCTTGTGACTGGCATCTGGGTTGTTCAGACTTCTTTATATATTTTCACTAACAGTTCTTTATCAGCTATGTCTTTTGCAATTATTTCGTTTCATTCAGCAGCTTGTCTTTTCATTGTCTTAACAGTATCTTTTGCAAAACAAGATTAAAGTCCAATTCATCAATTTTGTCATTTATGACTCATGCTTTTGGTGTTGCATCTGAAACCTTGTTGTCAAACCCAAGGTGTCCTAGTTTCTGTTGTCTTATCTCCTAGAAGTTTCAGATTTTACATTTCACATTTAAGTTTTTGATTCATTTTGAACTACCTTTGTGAAAATTGCAAGGTCTTTGTCTCATTTATTTCTTTGCATATAGATGTGTAGGTGTCAAGCAATATTTCTTGAAAAAAACCATTTTCATGAAATTTCCTTTACTCCTTTGTCAAAGAATAGTTGACTGTATTTTGTGGGTTTATTTCTGAATTTTCTATTCTGTTCTATTGACCTATTTGTCTATTCTTTTCCAAATACTACACTGTCTTAATTACTATAACTTTATAATGAATCTTAAAATCATGTAGTGTGAGTACTGGAAATTTACTCTTCATTGTTCTGTCAACCATTCTGGGTCATTTGTCTTTCCATATAATTTTTAGGGTCAATTTATCATTATTGACTACATAACTTTTAAAGAGTTTTATTGGGATCGTTTGAATCTATAATTCAAATTGGGGCAAACCAACATCTTAACAATATTGAGGCTTCTTTTCCATGACATAGAACATCTCTCCATTTATTTAAATCTCCTTTGATTTTTTCATTAGAAACTTGTAGTTTTTGTCATGAAGATCTTTGTCATATATATATATATGACATATATATGACAAATATATATATAATATATATTTGTCTCTCTGTTTTTCTTGGTGCTATAAAAGTGGTGTTGTGTTTGTAATTTCAAATCCAATTGTTCTTTATTAATATACAGAAAATGGTTGACTTTTGTATATTAACCTCTTATTCTACAACCTTTGTATCATCTTTTACTAATTCCAGCAGCTCTTTCTTCATTATTTGGAATCGTCTACATAGACAATCATATCATCTGAAAGCAAGGACAGTTTAATTTCTTTCTCCTTAATTTCAATATATTTCCCCTTTTTTGCCTTATGGTTTTTCTACAATTATTAATATAATAATTTTTGTTGTTTAGTTTTCTGATGTGATGGTTTACATTACTTGACTTTTGAATTTTGAATCACCCTTTTCCACCTGTGATAATTCCCATGTGGGTTGTGCTGTATAATTTTTTAATACATCTTTAGATTCACTTTGCTTGTATTTGTTGAGAATTTTTGCATCTATGATCATGAGACTTCTTTGTCTATAGTTTTCTTTTTTTGTAATGTACCCATGTAGTTTGGTAGTAGGGTAATGTTGACCTTATAGAGTGGCTTTAGAAAGTATTTACCCTACTCTCATTTTTTGGAAGAGATTGTGGCTTATTGGTGTCAATTTTTCTGTTTTCTTTTTTTACTGTTTGGCACAATTCACCAGTGAGACCATCTAGACCTTTTTTTCTTATGTAAGTAATTATTAGTTATTGATTCAATTTCTTTAATACATATAGACCTAGTCATATTGTTTATCTCTCCATGTGTGACTTTTGGGAGATTGCATCTTTCAAAGAACTGGTTTTTTTCAACTAAGTTATCAACTTTCTGGTTATGAAACTGGCCTTTTGATGTCCATGAGATTAGTAGTGATGGCCCCTCTTTTATTTCTAATTAGTCATTTCTATGCTTTTTCTATTTTTCTAGCCTCACTATAGGCTTATTAATTTTATCAATGTTCACGAAAAACCAGCATTTTGTATGTTGATTTTCTCCATTGATTTCCTGTTTGCATCTTCATTGATGTCTTCTCCCATTGTTATTTTCTGTGCTTGATTTAGATTTACTTTCTTTCTCTAGTTTCCTAATGTAGGAGGTTACATTATAGATTTTAGATCTTTCGTCCTTTCAAGCACATGCATTCAGTGCACTAAATTTCCCCCTATGCACTGCTTGTGCTGCATTCCACAAATTTTCATATGATATACTTTTATTTCCTTCAAAATATTTAAATTTCTCTAGAGACTTTTCTTTGACTCTTATGTTATTTAGAACTTTGTTGTTTTGTTTACAATTATTTGAAGGCTTTACAACTGTTTCTGTTACTGCTTTCTAGTTTAATTTTAATATGTTTTCTGGGCATACTTTATATGTTAACTAGTCTTTTACATTTGTTAAGATATGTTTTATGGCTCAGAGTGTGGTCTATTTTGGTGAATATTCTTTGATTTTCTATGAGAATGTGTACTTGGCTGCTGTTGGTTAAAATATTCTGTAAACACTAATTAAATCCAGTTGATGGATGCTGTGGAGTTAAACTATATTATTACTAATTTTCTGCCTTCTTGATCTGTCAATTACTGATAGAGGTGTGTTGGTGTCTGCCACTATCATTGTAAATATTTAATTTTTTAAAAGTTTTAAAAGTGTTTGCCTCATATATTTTGATCTTCTGTTTTAGGCATATACATATTAAAGATTTAATACATTGACTTAAAGTGTTTGTCTAGTAACTCTGTCTGGGGTTTTTCAGAGATGGTTTAGCTCAAATAATTTTTTTCATTCCTCAGCCATATTTTCTTGTTTCTTCATATGCTTTGTAATTTTAGTAGTTGAAGAGTGAACATTTAAATATTTTAATGGGATAACTCAGGAAATTATTCCCTCTGCTCTAGTATTTGCTATTCTTGTTTGCTGAAGAATGTAGTTGTCTACTTTTTAAAGTGACTTTTCCAAAATATTTTTGCAGGGACTGCATTACTTGTATATAGTCACTAAAGTCTGATCTTTTTTTTGCTTGTGTTCAGTAGTGTTTTGACACATATCTCCTTGAATGAGAAAAAAGAAGAAATAAAAGCCTTACCTCTTCTGGTTTGTGTAAATGGTTCTGTGATGGGTATTTCTTTAACACTTCAGCTGTTTAAAACTCTGCTTCAGCCTTCCCTTCCCACTGAACTAAGCCTAGAGATCAACCAGTGCTGAAAATGAGAGTCTTCTCTAGTCTTTTCTGAACATGTGTTTTTTCTCGGGCAGGCAAGGGGCTTTCTCAATTCTTCAGCACACAGAGAAATTGTAACATACAAATGCAATAATTTGCAAATAACATCTGTTTTGCTCCCTCTGAAACCAGACTCTTTCACAGGGAACGCAAGCTGCTGCCTAAGACTGGCCCTGAGAAAGGGAGGGGTTTGGGCAAAGACAAGTAAAAACGCTACAAGACTTTTCTCCTATTTTTCTTTGTTTTCTTTGAGTCTGCATTCACATGATCACTGTAAACCTTTGATGGTTTTCAAGAGTATTGACAAAGTTGTTGCTGATAGTTGTGCCTGTTTTTTTATGTTTCTGTGCAGTGACAGGTGTTTGGAGTAGCTCACTCTGCCATTTTGCTGATGTCACTCTCTCCGGACTTTCTATTGTATATCATTTATCTAAATGACTTTCCTTGTGCCTTTACTAACTACATTATCTTGTTTTTTGTTGATTTGATGCACATTTTGAAATTGTGAAGTTTGAGTCCCTCTGCTTTGCTCTTTTTCAAGATTGTTGGGATATTCTGAGTTTTTTGTAATTTCATATGTAAATTTCAGCATCAACTTTAAAATTTCACAAGGTAGTCACCTGGAATTCTGATAGGGATTGTACTGAATCTGTAGCTATTTTGAAGAGTTATTGCTATCTTAATAATATTAAGCCTACTGATCTATAAATATGGGATTGTTTTCCATTAATTTACAGCTTTAGCTTCTTTCAACAAGGTATGTAGTTTTCCGAGTCTATGTTTTGTACTTCTTCTGTTAAATGTATTCCTAGGTATTTATTCTTTGGATGCTGTTATAAATGACTTTTTTTATTAATTTCATTTTTAGATATTTCTTTTCAAGTGTATAAAAGTGGAATTGATTTTTGTATCTTAATTTTGTAACTCCAATGTTGGTAAACACATTTTCATCTTAGTTGCTGTCAGGTTTAAAATTATGAGTGTTTCTAAGAATTCCCCTGTGATTTTTTTTTTTGAGACGGAGTTTCGCTCTTGTTGCCAAGGCTGGAGTGCAATGGAGTGATCTTGGCTCACTGCAACCTCCACCTCCAGGGTTCAAGCAATTCTCCTGTCTCAGCCTCCCAAGTAGCTAAGAGTACAGGCATGAGGCACCACACCTGGCTAATTTTGTATTTTTAGTAGAGATGGGGTTTCACCATGTTGGCCAGGCTGGTCTCGAACTCCTCACCTCAGGTGACCCACCCGCCTCAGCCTCCCAAAGTGTTGGGATTACAGGCATGAGCCACTGCGCCTGGCCTCAAGAGGTTTGGCTCTGGTAAAATCTCGGTTAGTTTGGCTTTTGAGAAATAGGTGGTTGGGTTTTTTTGTTTGTTTTTGTTTGTTTGTTTTTTTGAAGGCTGGACCTTTAAGAACAGAATTATCTGGACATACTTGAAAATTGTTACTTTTCTTCTCCTGCTAGAAGCAGGAGACAATGCTGTGTTCTTCATGAGGACAGGGTTGAGAGTGTTTCTGGAGAAGAACTTATCCATTTGTGAGGACCCCTGAGAATGGGTACTCTGGAGATTTTAACTCTCAAACTTAAGCAACTCACCAATTAGAGTTTAGATTTTCTTTCACTTGTGTTGTTTCCCACAGAGGTTTATTATAGTTTTCTGATCAAGTAAGTTATGATTCTCTGAAAGTGCCTCTCTATCTTTCCAATTTCGGGCAGCGATTTGCCCTGTAAATTCAATTCTCTACTGAATCTATGAAGCATTGTTGATTTCAGTTTGTTTGCTTTTTGTGCTTCTGAATGTGAATGTTGCCTTCCATGTTTGTACATGCAAGACTTGTGAGAAAACATTTTAAATGGTCCATTTTCAGCATGATAAATCTAAGCACCGGCAGCCAGCCTGCAAATGTAACAGACCACATGGCTTATGCACCTAGAAGGTCACGAGAAGTGAACAGAATGTAGAGGAGGGGTCAGCTCATAAAAGGGAAGAAAGTTTCATTATTGGGAAATCGAAACTTAAGCAGGGAAGAGGACAGGGGTATAATCTTATAAGGGGGATGATGAAACTTAGGCAATGTCTGGGAAGATTGTAACCCCACAGTACTCAACCAGTGAGGAACTGGGGGAGGGACTTGTGTGCTAGGAGATAAATTACCTGTTGTGACCGCCCCGGTTGTGCCTGCCTACCAGACACCTGATCTT
The DNA here is from genome assembly GCF_000001405.40 of Homo sapiens. Classification (NCBI taxonomy): domain Eukaryota; kingdom Metazoa; phylum Chordata; class Mammalia; order Primates; family Hominidae; genus Homo; species Homo sapiens. The sequence continues at coordinate 247,218,538 of NC_000001.11, forward strand.
GCAAGACCATTATTAAAAGTCTCCCTTTGGCTGTTCTTCAGGCCTCTAAGTCCATTCTTTGGATTTGGACAGGTGAGTGTGTTTCTCACAAGCGTGGGGGCCCATCTGGGATCCATGTGCCTGTGTGAAGTGGGACTTTGGCCGAGAGGGGAGATGTGTCCCACCTGATTTAGGTGGCCCGCTCTATCTGGGCATCCCAGCTTCCCATAAAAGGCATAAACAAACCCAAGACTATTATTCAGGAGGCAGCAGAAGCAACACAGGGAGAAAAGCAGGCACTGCGGGAACCAGGCAAACTCATGCACCAGCCAAGGAAGGAAAATTGGACTGTAAGTACTGCCTTGGTTGTGGGGCATTTTTGGAGGTCTCGGGGTGTGCAAGAAACCTCCAGTAAGGGGGGTTGAGTAGACAGGGAAAAACTCAGACGCAGAGACTGGCAGAAAATGGGAAACAGGAATTCTAGGCCTGGGAGCCAAAGGAAAGAGGGAGCCAAAGAGACTCCCTCTGACATTCCCCTGGATAGTCCTTTGGGGAGATTGTTGCAGGTTTGGTGGAACAACCCTCGAACCAGGGACAAGGAAAAGGAAAAGATGATAAAGTATTGCTGTTTTGTCTGGCCCAAAGACCCCATTCATAAGCCTTCTGTCTTTTGGCCTAAGTTTGGCTCAGATGAGGATTGTGTTCTAAGCTTTAATTCTCTCTGTGAATAATAAAACTTCATCCTCACAAGAAGAGATAGGTTACTCTCTGCTGAATCAAGGAATTAGCCCCCATGATCCCCCTCAAAAAAGAAGAAAAAGAGCCTGGTGAAGAGCCCTCACCCAGTGAAAAGCCCTGGGACCCCCTATCGTGCTTGCCCCTTCATACGTCTCACAAAAAAGGGGACAGGAAGATCAAGGGGCAGCAGGAGGGTTAGAGGAAGAAAGACCCAGAGACTACAGGGGAGCCAAGCCAACTGCTCCTTTAAATCCTTATCCAAATTTAAGAAAAGAATTACAAGAGTGTAAGAGGGATATTGAGAACTTCCCTATCCCTTCCACACAGCAGGCATCTAGCATGTTCCCTCTTAGGGAAGTTCCCATGGGACAGGGAGAGATTGGCTTTGTAAATGCTCCTTTTACAAGTACTGAAGTTAGGAATTTCAAGAAGGAAATGAAACCACTCCTAGAAGTTCCCCTCAGTTTAGCAGACCAGCTGGACCAATTCCTAGGACCAGCTTTTACACTTGGGCTGAAATGATGTCTATCATGAATATCCTGTTCACAGGAGAAGAAAGGGGAATGATTAGGAGAGTGGCCATGACCATCAGGGAGAGGCAACACCCTCCTAGGCAGGGAGTGCTGCCAGCTGAACAAAAATTTCCAAATGTCCTCCCTCTCCCTCTCCGTCTCCCTCTCCCTCTCCCTCTCCCCACGGTCTCCCTCTCCCTTTCCCACGGTCTCCCTCTCCTTCTCCACGGTCTCCCTCTCCCTCTCTTTCCACGGTCTCCCTCTGATGCCGAGCCGAAGCTGGACTGTACTGCTGCCATCTCGGCTCACTGCAACCTCCCTGCCTGATTCTCCTGCCTCAGCCTGCCGAGTGCCTGCGATTGCAGGGGCGCGCCGCCACGCCTGACTGGTTTTCGTACTTTTTTGGTGGAGACGGGGTTTCGCTGTGTTGGCCGGGCTGGTCTCCAGCTCCTAACCGCGAGTGATCCGCCAGCCTCGGCCTCCCGGAGGTGCCGGGATTGCAGACGGAGTCTCGTTCACTCAGTGGTCAATGGTGCCCAGGCTGGAGTGCAGTGGCGTGATCTCGGCTCGCTACAACCTCCACCTCCCAGCCGCCTGCCTTGGACTCCCAAAGTGCCGAGATTGCAGCCTCTGCCCGGCCGCCACCCTGTCTGGGAAGTGAGGAGCGTCTCTACCCGGCCGCCCATCGTCTGAGATATGGGGAGCTCCTCTGCCCCACCGCCCCGTCTGGGAGGTGAGGAGCGTCTCTGCCCGGCCGCCCAGTCTGAGAAGTGAGGAGCCCCTCCGACCGGCAGCCGCCCCGTCTGGGAAGTGAGGAGCGTCTCCGCCCGGCAGCCACCCCATCCGGGAGGGAGGTGGGGGGGTCAGCCCCCCGCCCGGCCAGCCGCCCCGTCCGGGAGGTGAGGGGCGCCTCTGCCCGGCCGCCCCTACTGGGAAGTGAGGAGCCCCTCTGCCCGGCCACCACCCGGTCTGGGAGGTGTACCCAACAGTTCATTGAGAACGGGCCATGATGACAATGGCGGTTTTGTGGAATAGAAAAGGGGGAAAGGTGGGGAAAAGATTGAGAAATCGGATGGTTGCCGTGTCTGTGTAGAAAGAGGTAGACATGGGAGACTTTTCATTTTGTTCTGTACTAAGAAAAATTCTTCTGCCTTGGGATCCTGTTGATCTGTGACCTTACCCCCAACCCTGTGCTCTCTGAAACATGTGCTGTGTCCACTCAGGGTTGAATGGATTAAGGGCGGTGCAAGATGTGCTTTGTTAAACAGATGCTTGAAGGCAGCAGGCTCGTTAAGAGTCATCACCACTCCCTAATCTCAAGTACCCAGGGACACAAACACTGCGGAAGGCCGCAGGGTCCTCTGCCTAGGAAAACCAGAGACCTTTGTTCACTTGTTTATCTGCTGACCTTCCTTCCACTATTGTCCTATGACCCTGCCAAATCCCCCTCTGCGAGAAACACCCAAGAATGATCAATAAAAAAAAAAAAAATTTCCAAATGTCAATCCCAATGGGACAATAATGATCCCAGGGACTGGGCCCAAATGCAGCACCTCAGGGAAATAATAATTCGAGGGATCAAAGAATCCACTCCTAGGACATAAAATGTCTCAAAGGCATTTGAGATTCAACAAGAAAAAGAGAAAACTCCCTCTGCACTCCCGCAGCGGCTCAGAGATGAGAAAATACTCCGGGCTAGATCCGGATTATCCAGCAGGGCAAGGCCTTTTGAAGATTAACTTTGTAACTAAGAGCTGGCCTGACATTACAAAAAAATTACAAAAGCTTGATGGATGGAATGAGAAACCGATTGAGGAATTGCTGAGGGAAGCTCAGAGGGTTTTTGTAAGGAGAGAGGAAGAGAAGCAGAAACAGAAAGCGAAAAGCATGGTTTCCACTGTGGAAGAGGTAGTCAGAAAACGATTAGATCAAGATCCCCCTCAGAGGAGACAAAGCTATAATAGACTTCAACACCAAGAAAGAAGGGAAATGCAGGGAAAACCTCCTAAGACTATGAGTGGATGTTGCAAGTGTGGAAAGCCAGAGCATTTTAAGAGAGAATGTCCATTGTTGGACAGCTGATCCTGAGGTTAAATTGGTCAACAACTGAAATGGATAAAGACAAGCTATCTTAATTTTTGTTGTGTTTTTGTTTGTTTTTGTTTGTTCGTTTGTTTTTTGAGACAGAGTCTCACTCTGTTACCCAGGCTGGAGTGCAGTGGCATGATCTCGGCTCACTGCAACCTTCGTCTCCCAAGTTCAAGTGATTCTTCTGCCTCAGCCTCCTGAGTAGCTGGGATTGCCAGTGTGTGCCCAGCTATATATATGCCCAGCTAATATATATATTTTGTTTTTTTGTTTGTTTGTTTGTTTTTATTTGCAGAGACGGGGTTTCACCATGTTGGCCAGGCTGGTCTTGAACTCTTGACCTCAAGGAATCCGTCCACCTCAGCCTCCCCAAGTGCTGGGATTACAGGTGTGAGCCACCTCCTAGATACCTTTAAATAGATGAAGATGAGCTACTTTTTACTGAAGAAAGATTCTTCAGTGGAGGCGAACCTAGCGGCTCACTCCTGTTGGCAGTGGGTTACCAGTTGTGTGGAATTTGAAACTAATTTATACGTTCGTGAAATTCTTAAATTGTGTGGTCAACCAGACATCCCAGGGCTTCAGACAGGTCGAAGCCATCCTCCAAAAGGTGAATGATAGCATGTGTTCACCAGAAGCACTTAATGAGACATGGTACAATTTTACATCTCCTCTTTGACTCTGTTGGACAGTTGTACATGGTGCTAAACAATACTGAATATTGTATTTTTCTTCCCCTGATTTTGCTACTACAGAAAGCTTAATTTAAAAGGTGGCTGATATCCTGTTTCTTAAGACACTGATAATAAATACACTAAAAAGGGAATATGGATGTGTTTATAGGAAAAGCTAATAGTTTGCTTGTGGGCATTCTAAATGGTGGATGACAAGCTTAACTTTAAACGTTTTTTTTTTAATATTTATGTTTTTTTTCTAGTGAGTGGGTCTCCAGGCTTCTATGACTTGTGTTACCAGGCTAAAGATAAAGATGGAATCCTCGTTAAATCAGACCATGCCAGTCTCAAAATTGAGAGACTGATCACAAGGGAGAAATTGTTAAATGAAATAAGTGGAAGACCATTGTCCCAATGCTGTCTTTCTACTTTCAGTTCCTGTGTAATAAACTACAACCTAACTTAGTATGCAAATAAACGAAAACCCAATTTAGGAGTGTATTTTTTGGTATAGATAGCTGGGTCTCAGCCAGTCACAAGCACTGAGCTTCAGCCAATTCCAGGCAGCCAGCAGATCACAGCATGTCGAAATGAGGCACACACCTTACTGTAATCAAGTGGAGGAAAGAATCTCAGAACTTGACTATCTTTCTGAAATAAGACAGGCAGACAAGAATAGAGAAAAAATGTAAAGGGACAAACAAAACCTCCAAGAAAGATGGGATTATGTAAAAGACCAAATCTGTGACTGAATGGGGTGCCCGAAAGAGATGGGGAGAACAAAACCAAGTTGGGAAACATACTTCAGGATATCATCCAGGAGAACTTTCCCGACCTAGCAGGACTGGCCACCATTCAAATTCAGGAAATCCAGAGGACCCCAGTAAGATACTCCATTCGGAGATCAACCCCAAGACACATAATTATCAGATTATTCAAAGTTGAAATGAAAGAAAAAATGTTAAGGGCAGCCAGAGAGAAAGGCCAGGTCATGTACAAAGCAAAGCCCATCAGACTAACAACAGAGCTCTCAGCAGAAGCCAGAAGAGACTGGGGGCCAATATTAAATATTTGTAAAGAAAAGAGTTTCCAACCCAGAATTTCATATCCAGCCAAACCATGCTTCATAAATAAAGGAGAAATAAGATCCTTTTCAGGCAAGCTAATGCTGAGGGACTACACCACCAGGCCTCCCTTGCAAGAGCTCCTGAAAGAAGCATTAAATGTGGAAAGGAAAAACCAGTACCAGCCACCACAAAAGCACACTGAAGTACAGAGACCAGTGAAACTATGACACAACCACACAAAAAAGTCTGCAAAATAACCAGTTAGCATCATGATGACAGGATCAATTTCACAAATAACAATATTAACCTTAAATGTAAATGTGCTAAGTGCCCCAGTTAAAAGACACAGAATGGCAAGCTGGATAAAGAATCAAGCCACATTGGTATACTGTCTTCAAGAGTCAATCTCACATGCAAAGACAAAAATAGACTCAAAATAAAGGGATGGAGGAAAATTTACGAAGCAAATTGAAAATAGAAAAAAGCAGGGCTCACAATCTTAGTTTCTGACAAAACAGGCTTTAAACCAACAAACATCGAAAAAGAAGGGCATTACGTAATGGTAAAGTTCAACAAGAACCAACTATCCTAAACATATATGCACCCAATACAGGAGCACCCAGATTCATAAAACAAGTTCTTAGAGACCTTCAAAGAGACTTAGACTCCCACATAATAACAGTGGGAGACTTTAACACCCCACTGATAATATTAGACAGATTATTGAGACAGAAAATTAACAAAGATATTCAGGACTTGAACTCAGCTCTGAACCAAGTGGCCCTGATTAATATCTACAGAACTCTTCACTCAAAACAACAGAATATACATTCTTCTCATCACCAGGCATGGCACTGACTCTAAAATTCATCACATAATCATAAGTAAAACACTCCTTGGCAAATGCAAAAGAACTGAAATCAGAACAAGCAATCTCTCAGACCACAGCACAATCAAATTAGAACTCAAGAAACGCACTCAAAACCACACAACTACATAGAAATTGAACAACCTACTCCTGAACGACTCTGGGGTAAATAATGAAATTAAGGAAGAAATTAAGAAGTTCTTTGAAACTAATAAGAACAAAGAGACAATGTACCAGAATCTCTGGGATGCAACTAAAGCAGTGTTAAGAGGGAAATTTATAGCACTAAATGCCCATATCAAAAAGCTAGAAAGATCTCAAATCAACAACCTAACATCAAAACTAAAAGAACTAGATCTCATTAAACTAAAGAGCTTCTGCACAGCAAAAAAAGAAACTATCTTCAGAGTGAACAGAAAACCTACAGAATGGGAGAAAAAGTTTGCAATCAACCCATCAGACAAAGCTCTAATATCCAGAATCCACAAGGAACTTAAATTTACAAGAAAAAAAGAAACAATTCTATCAAAAAGTGGGCAAAGGACATGAACAGACACTTCTCAAAACAAGACATTTATGTACCCAACAAACATATGAAAAAAAGCTCAACATCATTGATCATTAGAGAAATGCAATTTGACCATTTGACCCAGCAATCCCATTACTGGGTATATACCCAACTTTATATAAAGGTGTCCACTATCTATGCTTCTGTAACTTCATTTTTAATTCAACATTGTATTTTTGGATGTCTTTCATGTTTTAGTTTCTTATTTAATTCTATATATTGTTTATGAATTAGCCCTCTAAATCGAAGACACTAAAACCTACCTCAGAGAGAATTCTTGAAAGGTAATGGATAAAAAGTGCTTATAGCAATGCCTTATTGTAGATGTTCAGTAGTACAGTAAGTTCTTACTTAAATCATCAGTAGGTTCTCAGAAACTGGGACTTTAAGCAAAAATGTGTATCATTAAACCAATTTTACTGAAAGCTAATTGATATTGAAAGGAGTTAAGTTCCTATAGCATATTTCTGGTAACAAAAACATCACCAAGTTTCTAAATAAAGATCCAAAACACTTATTATATTAAACATTGAAATAAATGAGAGCTATAGATACATTTAAGAAAGGTTAATAGAGCTACTTGTAAGGCTGAGGCAGGAAGATCTCTTGAGCCCAGGAGTTTGAGTTTACAGTGAGCTATGAACACACCACTATGAACATGTAAGATAATTACTTACCCAATTCTTAGTGAGTCAGTAAGTGATGGTGGTCATAGTGGTGATGGGTTAAATGAATGAATAAATGTTAGCAAATCAAATATTGCAAAGAGCACCTCCTACCACCTCAGGGTTCAAAATAGAAAATATGTCAGCAGAGCGCTTCTGTACTCCATTACTGCATTGTGCATTGTTGTGCATTTGCATGGTTATTACGTACTTTACAAATACTGATTTTTGTTTTTTGTTTTTTTTTTTGTTTTTTGGGGGCTCTGAGCCCTTACCTTGCTCTGTCGTCCAGACTGGAGTGCAGTGGTGCAATCTCGGCTCACTGCCACCTCTGCCTCCCGGGTTCACGCCGTTCTCCTGCCTCAGCCTCCCTAGTAGCTGGGACTACAGGCGCCTGCCACCATGCCTGGCTAATTTTTTGTATTTTTTAGTAGAGACGGGGTTTCACCGTGTTAGCCAGGATGGTCTTGATCTCCTGACCTTGTGATCCACCTGCCTCGGCCTCCCAAAGTGCTGGGATTACAGGTGTGAGCCACCGCGCCCGGCCAGATATTGATTTTATAATATGTTTTATAAATTCATTCATTCATTTCCCACATTACTAATTCTAGTTCAGGGTCACAAGTAGCCAGAGGCCATCCCAGCAGCTCAGGGTGCAAGGTAGGAACTAATCCTGGACAAGACTCCATTTCATTGTAAGGCACATTCACACCCTCACCCACACTCATTCTTTTTCTTCTTGAGATGGAGTCTCGATCTGTCACCCAACCTGGAGTGCAATGGCATGATCTTGGCTCACTGCAACCTCCACCTCCCGGGTTCAAGCAATTCTCCTGCCTTTGCCTCCCCAGTAGCTGGGACTACAGGAACACATCTCCAGGCCCAGCTAATTTTTATATTTTTAGTAGAGACGGGGTTTCACCATGTTGGCCAGGCTGGTCTCAAACTCATGACCTTAGGTGATCTGCCCACCTCGGCCTCCCAAAGTGCTGGGATTACAGGCATGAGCCACCATGCCTGGCCCACACTCACTCTTACTGGGACAATGTAGACATGCCAATTAACCTAATGTGCACATCTTTGGGTTGTGGGGGAAAACTGGAATACCTGGAGAAAACACACACAGAGACAAAGAGAGAAACTGTTAACTCTATACAGACAGTGGCCTTGGCCAGGAATTGATAACATTAGTGGAGGACCTGCATACATATGTAATAATACGTACAATATTATATAATTATGAGTGATTATAGTATTATAACAATTACCTAATGTAAATGACAAGTTGATGGGTACAGCAAGCCAACATGGCACATGTATACCTATGTGACAAGCCTGCATGTTGTGCCCATGTACCCTAGAACTTAAAGTATAATAATAAGAAAATTGCTTATTTCTATGTCAGTGTAGATTATTTTGTCAACTGCATTATTTATTACAATTTTTCAAAGTATAGTAAAATCTGACTTACATGCACCTTTAAAAAAAGACTTGTTTGGGATATTTGAAGTTTTTGGATGGCTAAGATTTATTTTTTACATATCAATTTATTTCTAAATGCATGCTTTTAAACTTAAACTGAAAGAATAGATTTTATCTGAAAATTGTAATAATTTTCAAATTCTCTTTCAAACTTGTTTATGAACATGTATGGCATAGCTTAAATAAGACTGTGCAAACTCTTTTGTGTTCTACTTTTTAAATATTACTTTTTTTGTTCACTTTCCCATATTTGCAAGCCTCACATAGTTGCCATTTTAAATATGTTTTTGTGATTCACCAATTTTTCTACCAGTCAGAGAGCAGCACGAGAGAGCAAATGAAACCATCTGGCTCTGAGCCCTTACCAGGTGTACTTGTAAGGTTCCAAATACTCACATGGGGTATTAGTCCATTTTCACACTGCTATAAAGAATTACCCAAGACTGGGTAATTTATAAAATAAAAAGGTTTAATTGACTCACAGTTACGCATGGCTGGGGAGGCCTCAGAAAACTTACAGTCATGGTGGAAGGGGAAGCAGGCATGTCTTACATGGCAGCAGGAGAGAGAAAGGAGTGAAGGAGGGACTTCCAACACTTATAAAACCATTAGATCTTGTGAGAACTCACTCACCATCACAGGAGCAGCATGGGGGAAACCATCCCCATGATTCAATAATCCCTTTGCCCAATTGTAATCCCTCCCTTGACATGTGGGGATTACAATTTCAGATGAGATTTGGGTGGGGACACAGAGCCCAACCATATCACACGCGGTGCATGATTGTTCTTGGTGTTAGCTTACAAGATCCAAGTATTTCTCACAGGGTAATGTGAAAATTGCACCAGCAGCTGCATTGGAAAAAAAAAAATCAGTGGACACCAAGAACAATCATGCACCCCATGTGATATGGTTTGGCTCTGTTCAAAGAAATCAGAGATAACACAAACAAATGGAAAAACATTCTGAGGCAGGAGACTAGGGTCTGGAGGCAGGGAACCTAAGGCTGATTCATGCTGACTGAATATCACAGGCTATTCCCCTTTCAATTCCTCCTTTCTCTTTGTGGCAGTTGCTGCGTGGCAGTTGGAAAATGAAAGTACCTCTGATTGGTCCCTTTCCACAACCAATCAGACTGGTCATGGCCCACTACTTTATTTGCATAGAGTGAACCAATGGGAAACCTCTAGAGGGCGTTTAAACCCCAAAATATTCTGTAACTAACGCTCTTGAGCTGCTTGCTTGAGCCTCCCCTGACTCTGTGGAGTGTACTTTCATTTAAAATAAATCTCTGCTTTTGCTGCCTTGTTTTGTTTGCATGTTTTGTCCAATTCTTTGTTCAAAATGCCAAGAATCTGGACAACTACCCTCAACAGTAACAATTCCCTGCTCATGGATAGGAAGAATCAGTATCACTAAAACGGCCATATTGTCAAAAGCAATTTACAGGTTCAATGCTATTCTTATTAAACTAACAATGACATTCCCCACAGAACTAGAAAAAAAGCTATTTTAAAATTCATACAGAACCAGAAATGAACTGGAATAGCTAAGGCAATCTTAAGCAAAAAGAACAAAGCTATAGTGATCAAACTACTCAACTTTAAACTATAGAGGAGGGCTACATTAATCAAAACAGCATGGTACTGGTACAGAAACAGACACACATACCAGTGGAACTGAATAGACGCCCAGAAATAAGGCCACACACCTACAACCATCTGATCTTCAACAAAGCTGACAAAAACAAGCAGTAGGGAAAGAATTCCCTATTGAATAAACTGTGCTTGAATAACTGATAGCCACATGCAGAAGACTGAAACTGGACCTCTTTTTTTACAAGATATACAAAAATTAACTCAAGATTGATTAAAAACTTAAATGTAAAACCCAAAACTATAAAATCCCTGGAAGACAACCTAGGCAATACTATTCTGGACATAAAAATGAGCAAAATTTTTATGATGAAAATGCCAAAAGCAATCACAACGAAAGCAAAAATTGACAAATGGGATCTAATTAAACTTATGAGCTTCTGCCTAGCAAAAGAAACTATCAACAGAGTGAACAGACAATCTACAGAATGGGAGAGAATACTTGTGAACTATGCATCTGACAAAAGTCTAATATTCATCATCTGTAAGGAACTCAAATTTACGACAACAAGAAAACCCCTCAAAAACCTCATTTAAAAGTGGGCAAATCCTGGGTGTAGTGGCTTATGCCTGTAATCCCAGAACTTTGGGAGGCCAAGGCAGGAGGATCACTTGAAAACCAAGAAAGACCCTGCATAGCCAAAGCAAGAAGAAGCAAAAAGAACAGATCTGGAAGCATCACATTACCCAACTTCAAACTATACTGTAAGGCCATAGTCACCAAAACAACATGGTACTGGTATAAAAATAGGCACATAGACAAATGGAACAGTATAGAGAACCCAGAAGTAAAGCCAAATACTTACAGCCAACTGATCTTCAAAAAACTGAACAAAAACATAAAGTGAGGAAAGGACACCCTATTCAACAAATGGTGTTGGGATAACTGGCAAGCCACATGTAGAAGAATGAAACTGGATCCTCACCTCTCCCCTTATACAAAAATCAATCCACGATGGATCAAAGACTTAAATCAAAGACCTGACACCATAAAGCTTCTACAAGATGACATCAGAAAAAACCCTTCTGTCATTGAACTCACCTGCAGCTCTCAGGGTTTCTGTGTCTTTCTTTGTAGCCAGAGACAGGCCTACATACCAGCAATCATGTTGAAGGGAACTGCAGTTGATATTGATATTGGCACCACCTACTCTTGTGTGGGTGTTTTCCAGCACGGGAAAGTAGAGATAATTGCCAATGATCAGGGAAACCGAACCACTCCAAGCTATGTTGCCTTTACAGACACTGAACGATTGATAGGTGATGCCACAAAGAATCAAGTTGCAATGAACCCCACCAACATGGTTTTTTGATGCCAAACATCTAATTGGATGCAGATTTGATGATGCTGTTGTCCAGCCTGATATGAAGTATTGGCCCTTCATGGTGGTGAATGATGCTGGCAGGCCCAAGGTCCAAGTGGAATACAAGGGAGAGACCAAAAGCTTCTACCCAGAGGAGGTACCCTCTATGGTTCTGACAAAGATGAAGGAAATTGCAGAAGCATACCTTGGGAATATGGTTACCAATGCTGTGGTCACAGTGCCAGCTTACTTTAATGACCCTCAGCATCAGGCTACCAAATATGCTAGAACTATTGCTGGTCTCAATGTACTTAGAAGTATCAGTGAGCCAACTGTAGCTGCTACTGCTTACAGCTTAGACAAAAAGGTTGGAGCTGAAAGAAATGTGCTGACCTTTGACCTGAGAGGTGGGACTTTTGATGTGTCAATCCTCACTATTGAGGATGGAATCTTTGAGGTCAGATCTACAGCTGGAGACACCCACTTGGGTGGAGAAGACTTTGACAACCGAATGTCAACCATTTTATTGCTGAGTTCAAGAGCAAGCATAAGAAGGACATCAGTGAGAATAAGAGAGCTGTAAGATGCCTCCATACTGCTTATGAACATGCTAAGTGTACTCTCTCTTCCAGCATCCAGGCCAGTATTGGGATCGATTCTCTCTATGAAGGAATAAACTTCTATATGTCCATTGCCTGTGCCCGATTTGAAGAATTGAATGCTGACCTGTTCCATAGCACCCTAGACCCCATAGAGAAAGCCCTTCAAGATGCCAAACTGGACAAGTCAAAGATTCATGATATTGTCCTGTTTGGTGGTTCTACTCATATCCCCAAGATTCAGAAGCTTCTCCAAGACTTCATCAATGGAAAAGAACCGAATAAGAGCATCAATCCTGATGAAGCTCTTGCTTATGGTGCAGCTGTTCAGGCAGCCATCCTATCTGGAGACAAGTCTGAAAATGTTCAAGAGTTGCTCCTCTTAGATGTCTCTCCTCTTTCCCTTGGTATTGAAACTGCTGGTGGAGTCACCACTGTCTTCATCAAGCGTAATACTACCATTCCTACCAAGCAGACACAGACCTTCACTACCTATTCTGGCAACCAGCCTGGTGTGCTTATTCACAGGTTTATGAAGGTGAGCGTGCCACGACCAAGGATAACAACCTGCGTGGCAAGTGTGAACTCACAGGCATACCTCCTGCACCCCGTGGTGTTCCTCAGATTGAAGTCACTTTTGACATTGATGCCAATGGCATCCTCAATGTCTCTTCTGTGGACAAGAGTACAGGAAAAGAGAACAAGATTACTATCACTAATGACAAGGGCCATTTGAGCAAGGAAGACATTGAATGTATGGTCCAGGAAGCTGAGAAGTACAAAGCTGAAGATGAGAAGCAGAGGGATGAAGTGTCATCTAAGAATTCACTTGAGTCGTATGCATTCAACAAGAAAGCAACTGTCTAAGATGAGAAACTTCAAGGCAAGATTAATGATGAAGACAAACAGAAGATTCTGGACAAGTGTAATAAAACTATCAGCTGGCTCGATAAAAATCAGACTGTTGAGAAGGAAGAATTTGAACATCAGCAGGAAGAGCTGGAGAAAGTCTGCAACTCCATCATTACCAAGTATACCAGACTGCAGGAGGCGTGCCAGGAAGAATGCCTGGGGGATTCCCTGATGGTGGAGCTCCTCCCTCTGATGGTGCTTCCTCAGGGCCCACCATTGAAGAGGTTGATTAAGCCAACCCAACTATAGATGTAGCATTGTTCCACACATTTTGAAACACTGAAGGACCTAAATTTGTAGCAAATTCTGTGGCAGTTTAAAAAAGTTCAGCTAATATAGTAAGTAACTGGGTAGTCTCAATACTTGAATATGGAACATATGCACAGGGGAAGGAAATAACATTGCACTTTATAAATACTGTATTTTAACTGGAAAATATAGTGTCTTAAATAAAAACTGTCTTAAATTGGCACCATAAAAAAACGTAAAATCCTTCTAGACATTGACTTAGGCAAAGACTTCATGACCGAGAACCCAAAAGCAAATGCAACAAAAACAAAGATAAATAGGCGGGACTTAATTAAACTAAAAAGCTTCGGCACAGCAAAAGAATCAGCAGAGTTAACAGACAACTTACAGAGTGGGAGAAAATTTTCACAATCTCTACATGTGACAAAAGACTAATATCCAGAATCTACAAAGAAATCAGCAAGAACAATACAAATAATCCCATCAAAAAGTGGGCTAAGGAGATGAATTCTCAAAAAAAGATATACAAATGGCCAAAAAGCACATGGAAGAATGCTCAGCATCACTAATTATTAGGGAAATAGAGATCAAAACCGCAATGCAATACCACCCCACTCCTGCAAGAATGGCCATAATAAAAAAATCAAAAAATAATATATGTTGGCAAGGATGTGGTGAAATGGGAACACTTTTACACTGCTGGTGGGAATGTAAACTAGTACAACCAGGATGGAAAACAACGTGGAGATTCCTTAAAAAACTAAAAGTAGATCTATCATTTGATCCAGCAATCCGACTACTGGGTATCTACCCAGAGGAAAAGAAGTCATTATACGAAAAAGATACTTGCGCATGCATGTTTATAGCAGCACAATTTGCAATTGCAGAAAAAAATGTCCCATCAACCAACGCATGGATAAAGAAAATGTGGTACATATATACCATGGAATACTACCTCAGACATAACAAGGAATGAAATAATGGCATTTGCAGCAATCTGAATGGAATTGGAGACTATTATTCTAAGTAAAATAACTCGGGAATGGACAACCAAACATCGTATGTTCTCACTCATAAGTGGGAGCTAAGCTATGAGAACACAAAGGAATAAGAATGATACAATGGACTTTGGGAACTTCAGGGAAAGGGTGGGAGGGGGATGAGGGATAAATGACTACACATTGGGTACAGTGTACACTACTTGTGTGATGGGTGCACCAAAATCTCAGAAATCACCACTGAAGAATTTATTCATGTAACCAAACACCACCTGTTCCCCAAAAACGTATTAAATAAAAAATAAATCTTAAAAAACATGGTACATATACACAATGGAGTATTATTAAGCAAAAAAAAAAAAAAAAATCAGATCTAGTCCTTTGCAACAACATGAATACATGAATGGAACTGGAGATCATTGTGTTTAATGAAATAAGCCAGGCACAGAGAGATAAATGTCACATGTTCTCACTTATTTGTGAGATCTAAAAATCAAAACAATTGAATCCATGGAGATAGAGAGTAGAAGGATGGTTTCCGGAGACTGGAAGGGTCACTGAGGGATGTGTGTTGGGGGGAGGTGAGGATTGTTAATGGATACAAAAAATAATTAGAAGCAATGAACGAGACCTACTATTTGATGCCATAACAGGGTGGCTATAGTCAATAATAATTTAATTGTACATTTTAAAATAATTTAAAGGGTGTAATTGGATTGTTTGTGATTCAAAGGATAAATGCTTGAGGGGATAGATGCCCCATTCTCTATGCTGTGATTATTTCACATTGCATGCCTGTATCAAACCCCATCTCATGTACCTCATAAATATGTATACCTACTATGTACCCACAAAAATTAAAACAAAAAGAAAGAAAAAGAAAAAGAAAAGTAAATGAAATAGATTACAAGGCAAAAGTAACAACAATAGCATGGTTGAGTTTAAAAGAGACACATAGTCCAGTGGAACAGAGTATAGAACAGAGAAATAAATCCATGTATTTACAGCCAACTGGTTTTCCACAAAGGCTCCAAGAACATACACTGGGTGTTGGACATTATTTTCAATGAATGGTGCTGGGAAAACTGGATATCTACATGCAAAAGTATGAAACTGGACCCCTATTTCTCACCATATACAAAAATAAACTGAAGATGAATTATGAACTTATACATAAGACCTGAAACTATAAAACTATTAGATAAAAACACACAGAAAACACTTCAGAACATTAGGCAAATATTTTATGGCTAAGACATCAAAAACACACACAATGAAAATGAAAACAAAAACAAAAGCAGACAAATGGGAAAATATTATTAAATAAAAAAACTTCTACATGGCAAAGGAAACAATCAATGGAGCAAAGAAACAACTTGTTGAATGGAAGAAAATATTTGCAAACTATTCATCTGATAAAGAACTAACATCCAAAATATACTCAAATAGTAAAAAGCAATCACATTAAAAAGTGTGCAAAGGACATACATAGACATTTCTCAAAAGAAGAAATGCAAATGGCTAACAGGTTTTTTTTTTTTAATGCTCAACATTACCAGTCACAAGGGAAATATAAGTCAAAACCAGAATGAGATATCATCTTACCCCAGTTAGAATGACTGTTATTAAAAGGAAAACACAAGAGACGTTGGCAAGAATGTGGAGAAAAGAAAACTTATATACTGTTGGTGGCAATGTAAGTCAGTACAGCCACTATGGAAAACAGTATGGAGATGTCACCAAAAAAACCCAAAAACAAACAAACAAACAAACAAAACTAACTAAAAATAGGACTACCATACCATCTAGCAATCCCACTACTGGGTATTTATCAAAAGAAAAGGAAATCCATATATCAAAGGGATGCCTACATTTGCATGTTTATAGCAACAGTATTTACAATAGCAAAGATATGAGATCAACCAAATTGTCCATCAGTGAATGAAAATGTAGGGTATGTGCACAATAAAGTACTATTATGCCTTTAAAAAAACTGAAATTTTGTTATTTGCAGCAACACAGATGTAAATGGATGTCATTATGTTAAGTGATGTATGCCAGGCACAGAAGGACAAATATTGAATAGTTTCACTTACATATGGGAGCAAAAAAAGTTGATCTCACGGAGATAGAGAGAAGAATGATAGCTACCAGAGACTGAGAAGTGTGCGTAGATGGTTGTTGATGGAAGAAGAGAGGTTGTTAATGGGTACAAACATACAGTTAGATATAAGAAATGTTTTAATATTTGATAGCAGAGTAACTGACTATATATAACAATGTATTGTATATTTCAAAATAGCTTTGAGAGAGAACTGAAAGGTTTCCAACACATACAAATAATAAACAGGCTGGACACTCTAGCTCATTCCTGTAATCCCAGCACTTTGGGAGGTCAAGGGAGTAGGATATTTGAGGCCAGGATTTTGAGACTAGCCTGAGCAAGAGTGATATCCCATCTCTACAAGAATAATAATAATAATTAGCCAGGTGTGGTGGTATGTGCCTGCAGTCCCAGTTACTTAGGAGGCTGAGGTGGGAAAATTTCTTCAGCCCAGGAGGTCGAGACTGCAGTGAGCCATGATTACTCCACTGCACTCCAGCCTGGGTGACAGAGTGAAACCCTATCTCCAAAAATTTTTTTGTAAAATTACAAATAAAAATTTGAGTTGATGAATACCCTATACATCAACTTGATCATGACACATTATATGCATATAACAAAATATTATACATATGCCATAAATATGTACACATATTATGTATCAACATAAAAAATATAAAAAATAAACTGGCATCACAGCTATGAAAATAAATTGAATTGTTAAATGGCAGTTGATACAGACTTCAGGTAAAATGATAACTAAGCTACATGGCTGAATAAAATGTTTAGAATGCAACTGAGAAAGCAGAGAGATCTAAAATATATGAAAGAGATTAGGAGATACAAATAATAAAATGAGCAGGTCTAATTTAAATCATGTTGAAAATTCAGAAGTAGAAAAGAGGGAAAACAAAGATACAATATTTGAAATAAAGACTTTGAATTTTATAGAAATGATAAAGTGAGATCAGGAGGGATGGCTCATACCTATAATCCAACACTTTGAGAGGCCAAGGCAGGAGGATTGCAGGAGGATTCCTTGAGCCCAAGGAGTTTGAGACCAGCCTCGGCAACACAGCGAGACCCTGTCTCTACAAAAAAAATTTTTTAAATTAGCCAGGTGTGGTGGCGTGTGCCTGTAATCCCAGCTATTCAAAGGCTGAGGTGGGAGGATCATTTGAGCCCAGGAGGTCGAGGGAACAGTGAGCCATGATTGTGCCATTGCACCCCAGGCTGAGGGACAGAGAGAAACCCTGTCTCAAAAAAATATATAGAAATAAGTAAAAATAAAAACATAACAAAATTGGGAAATGCAGATACATGTGGGAGATCAAAAAAGTGTGATAAATAAAACGGGATATTTATATACAAACAAGAATAGTGTGGCCGGGCGCAATGGCTCACGCCTGTAATCCCAGCACTTTGGGAGGCCGAGGTGGGCGGATCACGAGGTCAAGAGATTGAGACCATCCTGGCTAACATAGTGAAACCCCGTCTCTACTAAAAATACAAACAATTAGCCCAGTGTGGTGGCAGGCGCCTGGTGGGAACCAGGGTGGCGGGCGCCTGGTGGGAAGGGCGCCTCGTGGGAACCCGGGGGGGCGGAGCTTGCAGTGAGCCGAGATGGCGCCACTGCACTCCAGCCTGGGTGACAGAGCGAGGCTCCGTCTCAAAAAAATAAAAAGAAAGAAAGCAAAGAAACAAAAATCCTGTAGACATATGACTGATGTGCACAATTTACTCAATTGCATTTGCTAATCATATTAATCATATTACAAAGATCGTTATGATTGATATAACACAGGGTTAGTAATAACCTTGAATGAATGTATTCAGAGAAATACCCTATGCAACATGTAAAACTATTTGGGGGACTATCAAATGCATTTCTAGTTGTAAATTTTCATCACTTTTGATAAACCTTAATTATTCTCCTCCAAAGAGTCTGAACAATCTTGAATATTTGTTATCAGCATAGGTTAAGACTAAAGGACTAATTATGGCATAGTTATTGACCACAGGCATATGGAATCATACCAGTAGAGGGTCGTTTATCCATGTCACAACCACTGAAAATGAGAATATGAAGTCCACCCAATATAAGAAGACAAAACAGCTCACCAACAATAGGATGGTCTGGGAGGCCCTTTTTGCTGGGGAGGCTCTTGGGGAGACGCTGGTGCTATGTAGGTGCTGGGACAGTCTCTTTTGTTTGTACAAAATAATCACCCATAGCCACTTGAGAGGACCATGAGTCCTATGAAGATGACATCCCTCAAAACCATTAGTATGAAAAACAGGCTCCTGTGGGTGTAGCTCATGGGCAAAACATAACAGTGCTCAGTGACAAACAAAAGACTGGCCCCAATCCTATTCGGGGTAGGCACAATGAAAAGCAAAAGGTTATTAGTAATGAACATGTTGAGGACCCATGAGAAGAGGATGAAGCCTAAGGTGTGATTTGCAGAAATATGTTTAAACTTTTCCAAGAAGGAGGTGCTGGGGCTGATGGTGATGGCCTGGAGCACGCTTAGGAGGCAAGTGGTGCAGATGGAGACTCCCCTCATCACCCTGTTTAAAAATGTGATGATCTTACACTTTAGATCATTGTTCTGAATATTCCATGATTCAAATAAGTCGGAGGACACCAGTATCGCCTGAGTGAAGAGTAGCAGTATGTGGATTAGGGGCAAGTGACTAATGGTCATGTCAATGGGCTTAAGCCTGTGAGTATAAGCAAAAGTGAAGATGTGGAAAAGAAGGAGGAAGGTGTTTGCTGAGATTCCAAAGCTGACTTGAGGGTAATAAACATTTTTAATGACAATATAGCTGAAAAGCTTGGTCATTTCCATGGAAAATTAAAACAAATAAAGGATATCTGTAGAGAAAAATAAGACATCAAATGATAATTGCATTAGGAACATTTCTGCCATGTTGTTAATTAGTATCATTATGTTCAATAATCTCTGTGATCTGGAATAAAAAATGTCGATTAAATCTGAGTAGTTTATTACTCTTTGCTAAATATTCAACGCAACCATGTAATTCTCCAGATACTTGCTGTCCGTCTCCCATTCCCACCCCTGTGGTTCTCCCTCTGTTCCCTTTCCTGGGCTCCCACAAAATCTATGCTTTCCTCCATAGCAACATTTGCCCTCTTGATGGAAAACTGATGGTTTCTCTTGTACATGTCCACAAGTACCTCAAGGGCAGGAAGGAGCTTGGATTTCTGCTGTGCACAAACTTTTTCTACCTATAGATATCTGTCAAACAAAATCAAAGTATGTGTTGGGCAAGTGGAAAAAGTAAATTAACTCAACAGGACCATTTCGATCTTTATCTCGTCTTCTCTGGGGCTCCTTTCCTGGTGCACTTGGGGATGGAGAAATAAAATGACTCAATGATTTTCACTGAACAGTAACTATTATTGACAGTGGCAGAGCAGCTTCTTACATATATCTTGGTACGTAGCTTACATAGATTCTGCAGAAAAATAACAAAACCTTAAGGTCTATAAACAGTTAAAACTCTCACATTCAAACATGGGCACTTATTGTGGTAAATGCAGCTTTGACCCCATGCATGATGGTGAAAACCCTGGAAGCATGCCGGGAGAGTGGCAATGTGCACCAAGGGCCTTCCTTGACTGACTACGCAGCCCTTGTTTCCACGGAAGACCATTTAGCCGGTGCTGGGCACCAAGCCTGGTCCTCAGTCATGCTCAATAGTGGGATTCATAGCATCATCACAACTACCTGGGCTCTGCTCCTGGTCACAAGAAAAGGAAGGAGAACAAAGTAAGGGCAGCTGCTCAGCAGAATCAGACCAGGCTTGACAGAGTTGACTGTGGTGGGACATGGTGTAGCGTAAGGAAATGACGATGTGTGCTTCTATATCCTGGGTTGTTAAATCAGAACATAATGCACCTGTCTAGGAACCTTGTAAAGTGTAAAACATAAAAACTGCATAAAGCACTTAAATCAGTGTCAGGCATACAAAGACCTAAAAGTGAATCCTGTCAATCATAAAATAATAGCTACTTTGTCATAATCATTTTGGCAAATATCATCATCATTTTTAAAACTTAGTTTACTGTCTCATGGAAAAAAGTGGATGTGTTTGGGTGATAAAATTATCACTGTGAGAAGGGGGCTTTGTTATGCCAAGAGGACAACTGGTGATAGTCATTTCATAAGCAGGAAAACTGGAGAGAATCATAAGAAATGCATGAGCCACATATGGGAAATGCAAAGACTTGAAAATTTGCGTATAAAATATGCAACCACAATGAGACTACAAAAAGTATCATTAAGAAACTGTGGTATAGGCACAAGACAGGGATGCCCTCTCTCACCACTCCTATTCAACATAGTGTTGGAAGTTCTGGCCAGGGCAATCAGGCAGGAGAAAGAAATAAAAGGTATTCATTTAGGAAAAGAGGAAGTCAAATTGTCCCTGTTTACAGATGACATGATTGTATATCTAGAAAACCCCATCGTCTCAGCCCAAAATCTCCTTAAGCTGATAAGCAACTTCAGCAAAGTCTCAGGATACAAAATCAATGTGCAAAAATCACAAGCATCCTTATACACCAATAACAGACAAACAGAGAGCCAAATCATGAGTGAACTCCCATTCACAATTGCTTCAAAGAGAATAAAATACCTAGGAATCCAACTTACAAGGGATGTGAAAGACCTCTTCAAGGAGAACTACAAGCCACTGCTCAATGAAATAAAAGAGGACACAAGCAAATGGAAGAACATTCCATGCTCATGGATAGGAAGAATCAATATCGTGAAAATGGCCATATTTCCCAAGGTAATTTATAGATTCAATGCCATCCCCATCAAGCTACCAATGACTTTCTTCACAGAATTGGAAAAAACTACTTTAAAGTTCATATGGAACCAAAAAAGAGCCCGCATCGCCAAGTCAATCCTAAGCCAAAAGAACAAAGCTGGAGGCATCACGCTACCTGACTTCAAACTATGCTACAAGGCTACAGTAACCAAAACAGCATGGTACTGGTACCAAAACAGAGATATAGACTAATGGAACAGAACAGAGCCCTCAGAAATAATACCACACATCTACAACTATCTGATCTTTGACAAACCTGACAAAAACAAGAAATGGGGAAAGGATTCCCTATTTAACAAATGGTGCTGGGAAAACTGGCTAGCCATATGTAGAAAGCTGAAACTGGATCCCTTCCTTACACCTTAAACAAAAATCAATTCAAGATGGATTAAAGACTTAAATGTTAGACCTAAAACCATAAAAATCCTAGAAGAAAACCTAGGCAATACCATTCAGGACATAGGCATGGGCAAGGACTTCATGTCTAAAACACCAAAAGCAATGGCAACAAAAGCCAAAATTGACAAATGGGATCTAATTAAACTAAAGAGCTTCTGCACAGCAAAAGAAACTACCATCAGAGTGAACAGGCAACCTACAGAATGGGAGAAAATTTTTGCAATCTACTCATCTGACAAAGGGCTAATATCCAGAACTAAAAAGTACTCAAACAAATTTACAAGAAAAAAAAACCCCATCAAAAAGTGGGTGAAGGATATGAACAGACACTTCTCAAAAGAAGACATTTATGCAGCCAACAGACACATGAAAAAATGCTCATCATCACTGGCCATTAGAGAAATGCAAATCAAAACCACAATGAGATATCATCCTACACCAGTTAGAATGGCAATCATTAAAAAGTCAGGAAACAACAGGTGCTGGAAAGGATGTGGAGAAATAGGAACACTTTTACACTGTTGGTGGGACTGTAAACTAGTTCAACCATTGTGGAAGACAGTGTGGCGATTCCTCAGGGATCTAGAACTAGAAATACCATTTGACCCAGCCATCCCATTACTGGGTATATACCCAAAGGAATATAAATCATGCTGCTATAAAGACACATGCACACATATGTTTATTGCAGCACTACTCACAATAGCAAAGACTTGGATCCAACCCAAATGTCCAACAATGATAGACTGGATTAAGAAAATGTGGCACATATACACCATGGAACACTATGCAGCCATAAAAAAGGATGAGTTCATGTCCTTTGTAGGGACATGGATGAAGCTGGAAACCATCATTCTCAGCAAACAATTGCAAGGACAAAAAGCCAAACACTGTATGTTCTCACTCATAGGTGGGAATTGAACAACAAGAACACTTGGACACAGGAAGGGGAACATCACACACTGGGGCCTGTTGTGGGGTGGGGGGAGTGGGGAGGGATAGCATTAGGAGATATACCTAATGTAAATGATGAGTTAATGGGTGCAGCACACCAACATGGCACATGTATACATATGTAACAAACCTGCACGTTGTGCACATGTACCCTAAAACTTAAAGTATAATAAAAAATATATATTAATAAAATAGAATTATGACCTCTAAAAAGAAAGAAAGAAAAAAAAAGAAACTGTGGTATAAATGAATGAGAACTGAGTCCCCAAACCATGGCCCAGACTATCACTTCTTGGCAATGGAATTAGATAGAAGTTTAGTTTGTAGTAATATCCTGTTACTAGTGTCTTTACAATCCCAAGTCATTTATTAATATGTTATTGTAGAGAAGAAGCAGGAAAACAGACATAGAGAAAATTGAAATAGTTCTCCTAAAAATGGAATGCAACTCGAATGGGAAGCTGACACTTCAATCTTGCCTATGTTTTCCTGATTGCTACAAAAATTACAATGAGAGCAAAGTGTGTGAATTTTTTTGTCAAAAAGTTTGCGAAGTCTTACCTCCTCACTTTGCTTGTATCTCGTTAGCAAAAGGGAGTAGAATATGCTCACCTTCTGGAAGTCAGGACAAAGAGTCAGAAAGGAGTCAGTAGAAGAAAAAAAGCATTTTAAATCTGTAATGCAGGATGACTCAGAGTCAGACTGTCCTCCTTCCTTAATGGGAAAAGCTGGCACATGCCTGAGCATAAAAAGAGAAAGGGATTTTTGACTTTGAATATGTTTAAGAATATCTGAAAAATTTCTCAGTAAAATCCTTAAATGCAGATTTTTCTTCAACTTAGGTTTTCTGTTTTTTTTTAAAATTTGATTCTTGGGAGACATAAAAGAAAAATATCTGTAATTTTGACTTGGCCTTTTATTTACCTTATTCTTGGTCCTGCCCCAGTTTTCTTCTTTTCTGAAAGCATATTACAGAGAGTATGATGGAATTACCTAATCACAAACTACCAGGTTGACATTTGTGGTAAATCATTTAACTTTATTTTATAAAGAATATTTTATTGATTAAATAAAAATTTGAGTTTTTAGAAGAAGATACATTATAATTCTATCACAATAAAATATTTTGAACAAAAGGAAATTTTAAAAATAATTTTAATTTACTCATCCATTTATCAAGAAAATAAAGCAAAACCAACAGTTTATCACTCATTGTCTTGTGACTTTAGGTAATTAAAAGTAACACTAAAAATATTTCAATAAAATTTAGAGTTGAGATGTCACATTGTTTTCCAGCTAAATATGAATTACTTTTCTAACTGTGAAATCAATTAAGTCACTAGGGAGAAGATATCTCAAGTTATATGAAAGATACAGTAAGAAGTTGGTCACTAATTACAGTGATGAAAAAGGTAAAATATGGTTACTCGTTAAAATTATATTTCTCATGCAGTTTTTGTTTTTTTTTTTTTTTTTCTGAGACAGGATTGTGCTCTGTTGCTTGGGCTGGAGAATAGTGGCATGATCATGGCTCACTGCAGCCTTGACCACCTGGGTTCCAGCAATCCTCCCACCTCAGCTTCCTGAGTAGCTGGGACTACAGGTGTGCATCACCACACCCAACTAATTTTTTAGCTTTTTATAGAGACGGGGGTCTCACTGTGTTGCCCAAGCTAGTCTTGAATTCTTGGGCTCAGGCAATCCTCCCACTTTGGTCTCCCAAAGTTCTGGGATTACAGATGTGAGCCACTATGCCGTACCATCCCATGCATTTTTGAAAATACTAATCACTATGACATCACAAATGGAAAATAATTCTATCACTTTGTTTTCTTCTCACAACATCCTTAGAGCATTTTGAATTGAATAAAGTGCCCAATATTTCAAAGAATGTAGTGAGAAACAAATGAGAAAGAAGACATAGACCTTTATTTTGTGGAGAAATAAACATAAGAACCATTATGGGATTCATTTGGTATAAATTTATTATGCAGAAGAAACTATAAATTGAGTATTCAAAAATAATTGAATACATTCACATTTTTAGTCTACCTCACATTCAGGTTTTAAAGTAACAGGAGTGTAAAAAGATATCAATAATATAAATAAATAAAAATCTAGAATCATTTCTAGAAAAATTATTGCTGAAGTGAGCTTTTGTCTAAAGTCTACTATTCTTTCCAAAAGCAGAGGGGGTTAAAATAACAAAAACCAAAAACAAATAAAGCCTACTGAATCTAAATTAACTAAAGTATTAGATATTATTAGATTCTGAGCATTATTATAAGTTATTCTGTACCTTAAGAGAAAATCCTGCCTCTTGCATGTGCCTGGGTAGACCCTAAATAGTCAGTCACTGAAATTATTGTCCTAGACCTACATTTCTTTCCCGCTGCCTCACTGTCGCTCTTTCTCAGACTGAAAAACTAAGCAACACTTACCAAGCAGGGTTTTGAGAGTGTGTTTTTCCATGTGAGGACAGCCACGCTGCTGTTATATAAAAAGAATCTCATTACCTCATCTCTCCCCCTCTCCCCGGATGAGCAATTTTCCTATTACCTTTGAAATACGGCAATGTCTGGTTGTTTTGGTAAGAAGCAGTCTCAAAAGGGAAAAAGAGGTACTTACTTTACTTACCAAGTAAAGCAAAGTAAATAGCGACACCTCCTCAGTTGAACACTTTTTAATGTCGTAATCCACAATGTGTAAACCTGGGGTGTTCATGTGATTATATCACACTAAGCCAAACTAAATCCCCACTTCCACTTGACCTAGCATGTATATCAGTGTCATGTAGGATAAGCTCGAACACATTGAGAACTGAAAATTGGAATATAAACTAATTACTTTTTTTGTTTATTTGTTTGGTTTTTCTTGAGATGCAGTTTCGCTCTCATCGCCCAGGCTGGAGCGCAGTGGCGCCATCTCGGCTCACCACAACCTCCACCTCCCGGGTTCACGTGATTCTCCTGCCTCAGCCTTCCCGAGTAGCTGGATCACAGGCAAGCGCAACCATGCCCGGCTAATTTTGTATTTTTTTAGTAGAGACGGGGTTTCTCCATGTTGGTCAGGCTGGTCTCAACTCCCGACCTGAGGTGATCCGCCCGCCTCGGCCTCCCAAAGTGCTGGGATTGCAGGCGTGAGCCACCGGGCCCGGCCAACTTACTACTTTTAACTTGTCTTTCTTTACTGAAATGGTGAAGGCAAGGAGACACTAGTAGCAATGAGCAGGCCATATATTCAGATTTCTGAAAAACTATTTTATTAAGATTTGACTGACATATCAAAAGTTGTACATATTTAAGGGTAAGTATATGCTACAAAACCATAACCACCATCATGGCCATAAACATATACATCACTTCCCAAAGTTACCTTCTACATCCTTTATTATTGCTGTTCTTTTTGTTTGCTTGGTTGGTTTTGTGTTATTTTTTATGAACATTTAACATAAGATCTACCCTCTTAGCAAATTGAAGGTATACAGTACAGTTTTGTTAACTATAGACACC